>NC_000004.12:79981987-80133502 GCF_000001405.40 Homo sapiens
AAATATAAACCAATAATGTTCCTTTTAACTCAGGACCCATTCAGGGGCTCACTCACACATTTCCTTTCCTTTAAAAAGAGATCTCAATCTTTGGAACACTGGAATATTGAACTAACAAAAATCTGACATATTCCTAGTTTTTTAAAGCAAGAATATTATTTATTCAATTAAGGCTCACATACTAATATCCTTACTTTATTATCATGCCATATTTTACATGAGTGAATTTCAAAATGGCATTAAGTTTATTATTCTGAATATGAAGTAGTACATGCTCACTGTCAAATACATTTAAACAATAGGGAAATATATAGCATAGATTGAAAATTGTCCATCCAGAGAAACCTACTCACATTTTTGGTATATTCTATCAAGCCTTTTTTCCCCGTTATATAGATCTTTTTACACACACATTTTGGAATGAGATGAAATCAAATAAAAATAAGTTGTTACAGATCGTATTTGGATATTTGATTGTAACACTTTTATTTCGAAGTGTATGTTTTATACATATAGGAACATCCTATATACTTTCTTCCCACCTTTCCAAGTCTAGAATGACACAACAAAGGTAAGAAAGGAAAATAACCTTCCTTCTGTGTCAAACAACAAGAACTTGCCTAGCCATGCTCTCTTATATTGTTTGCTATTCTCAGTTTCTAGCACACAAAAATACATGCAATAACTTCTCCAAAGAACAGCTTAACTGCATCTAGCAACTGTTTATAATCATGGATAATTGGCAATGAGGTATCTGCCTCAGAGGATATTTCAACAATAAAGGGCAAGCTCTCAGGGAAAATGTCCATTGCTTCAAGATCTAATGTGGTCCAGAAAAGTAAGAATCACTGTCAGATGACCTATATAAACACTTTGCTAATGACAACCATGTTCAGTATGTCTGGGCTTTTTCTGAAGAAGAGTAAAATTTATTCTGAAAAGGGGAAACTCTCCTTGGGAATCTGAATTTTATTGTAATGTATAAAAGGAGAAAATTGCAATAATTGTGGGGTTGTTCATTAGGTTATCAATTTTTGCTGGCACAAAGCAGATATGACAATAGGAAACGTGCAACAATGGTAAAATGCATAAAACACATTCTAATCAGAAGGAAAATTATGACTAAAAAGGAAGGAATGCCAGAATTTAATAATAAAGTCAATGTGTTCATGAAAAAATCCCTTGAATTGCTCCTTGGGATGGGATGCAGGCCTGTTTATACTGTTGTTAAGAGCTCAGTGCTGGTAATAATTGCTTATTACTAAATAATATATCACTTTGAAAAAATAGTTCATGGTGATAATAAAATCTTATTTGACTTTTAAGATATAATATTAAAGTTCAATTTTAATCAACACTTTGGGCTAGTCTGAAAGTTCAATGCATTCTATAAATGATATATAATATCAATTACAATAGTTCATAAGTGGCAACTAACATAAAGTATTAAATGTGCTTCCTCTATATTTGTGATAAAGTCAGATCCACGCTATTGAATATTTTAACATTTTCTTCTCAAATAGTAGATAACTATTGGATCTTTACAAAGAAGAACATTGTTGCAACTTGAAGTGGCTGGCTTCTTCAAAGTTGACGTTCTATGCGGTAATTTTTTCCAAAATAAGAAAAACCCTAGCTTTGTTTTGTCCCTTAGAATTCAGAGGTCTTATCAATGCAATCCTTTGACTAATGAAACCAGTTCTTCTAGGCCAGTTTTGCAGCGGCTAGGATGATTCCATAGAAAAAAAAATGTATCCAGAAAAGACCCAGTGTTAAGCACAAATGGATGATATTATAATATTGAATTGTGAAAAGTAGTTTCTATGGCTTAATAGCCCTAGAAATACATACTCCAGATTAGCAGCTTCTATTTTTTTTTAAGATACCAACCTCCATTCTTTTAATTCCTCCAACCCCTCGACCACCATAATAGGAAGCATCCACAGTTGGCCACTTTTTAGTAGGCAAAGGTTCTTCTTCCTCCTGTGGAAATATGTTTTATAAATAGTTTTTAATTAATTTCTTAAAATACTGTTTAGTCGGAACTGGCTCATATTTAAATATTTTTCTGAATTATGTCATTACTATGGAAAAAACTATGTATAGAACATGTGGATATATTTACACTTACATGCATAAATTTCAAGTGGAGTTCTACAGGATATGAGAACTCCTTTCCCTCCTCAAATTTCAGGAATCTCTCTTACATCATCCCTAGGTAACTAGAAGTTGTTCTTTAACTATGGGAATCATTTGGTATTTCAAATCTATTCATCACTTCATACTTAGAAAGATAAAATATTAAATTAGGACAGCATTTTAACAGTCATTAAAGCATCAATGTGTGTGTAGGTTTGGACTCTATGAAATTTGAACTGAAAAGATAGGCAGTTGAGAAGCTTTGAAAATATACAACACCAGCACATTCCTTATTTCATGTTCCTAACATGATTCTGGTTAACAGAATCATATAAAAGCACCAAGAATTTTGAAGAAAGTAATAGGATCTTTCAACTGTCAGCTTGGATGTTTTTTGTCAATAACATAAGTGATATCAGAACTGTTGATATAGTACTATAAAAGTATATTAAATCTTTATGTACTATTGATTCCAATGGCCAGTTTATATCTAGTAATGTATGAAGTTCCCATTCCTCTAGCACATGAAATAAATCATAAGAGGATGAAAAATAACCACTGATTTGTATAAATTAAAAAGTCAGTACATAGGTATCATAGTTATCTAACAGACAAAATTGATTAAATTTGGGCATGGTATCTGCATTTGGAAAAAAAAAACAGCCATATCAGTTTTTTAGGCACTCACTTACCTCTTTTGGTGCAGGGGCGGGTGGTGGTGGAGGATCCTTAATAACCTGTCAAAAAAAATCAAATATAAAAATTTCTATGGCATAGAGAGGAGATAGTAAGGATGTGTAAAAATAATTTGATACATAAAATACTGTGGTAGCTCCAAAGAAGTCCCTCACTGAAGCTTGCCACCCAATATTTATGCCCCTCTCTTTGAATCTTGGATTGCCTGTAACTAGCTTTCGGCAAATAGAAAAAGGTTGAAGTGGGCCAGGTGCGGTCGCTCATGCCTGTAATCCCAGCACTTTGGGAAGCCGAGGGGGGCGGATCACGAGGTCAGCAGATCGAGACCATCCTGGCTAACACGGTGAAACCCCGTCTCTACTAAAAATACAAAAAAAATTAGCCGGGCGTGGTGGCGGGAGCCTGTAGTCCCAGCTACTTGCGAGGCTGAGGCAGGAGAATGGCGTGAACCCGGGAGGCAGAGCTTGCAGTGTGCCGAGATCGTGCCACCGGACTCCAGCCTGGGCGACAGAGAGAGACTCTGTCTCAAAAAAAAAAGAAAAAGAAAAAGAAAGAAAAAAAAGAAAAAGGTAGAAGTGGTACTATGTGACTTCTCAGGCTAGGTCAAAAGAACTTAATTTTCCCTGACATCCGTGGAACACTCACTGTTGAGGAACACTGCTGTCAGGTCAGAAATCCACCCCAAGACCATCAAGCTGTGAGGAAACCCAAACTAACCTAGGCTGGGTGGTGAGACAGAGACACCAGCTGATCCCCAGCTATTTCAGCCATTCGAGAGGAGATATGGGACATATAAGAGAAAAGTCCATCTTGGACACTCAGGCACACCAAGCTTCCAGATGACTCCGGCCAAACTGGCACCTGACTGTAACCACAATGAGACTCCAACTGAGAGTCTCCTAACTCAGCCCGTAAGGATACAAACTGTTGCTTGAAGCTGCTTGTAACAAATCAGCTTCTTAGCCAAGACCCCTTTCCTGTGATGCCTTACTCATGAAATCTTTCACAGTTAATTCTTTTTTTTTTTTTTTTTTTTGAGACGGAGTTTCACTCTTGTTTCCCAGGCTGGAGTGCAATGGCATGACCTCAGCTCACTGCAACCTCCACCTCCCGGGTTCAAGCGATTCTCCTATCTCAGCATCTGGAGTAGCTGGGATTACAGGCGCCCGCCACCACGCCTGGCTAATTTTTTTGTATTTTTGGTAAAGACGGGGTTTCACCATATTGGCCAGGCTGGTCTCAAATTCCTGATCTCGGGTGATCCACCCGCCTCGGCCCCCCAATACAGTTAATTCTTCACGTGAATAGAATGGGGCTTAATTTGAAATGACCTTTACTGGTATTGGGCTATCTGGATATTCACACCATCGTGATGGAAAATCTTTGACCAAGTGTCAATGGCTTCAGCTACTTCAGGTACAAATCAAAGTCTCTATACTAAGAGGGAAAACTGAAAATGTTCCAGCTTGATGTCATCTAATGTCAAATGTGTCAACTATGCTATTAAATTTTCAAAGGTTTAAAACAATAGCAACTTTGAAAATGTGGTTCCACTTTTACCTCATCAAAGAATTATTTTTAATGTGTAGTATATTACTATGATCATGGATATATATTTAAAGACTGTTTGTCTTTTAAAGGTATGTACAAATATTTCCAGGTGAAATGATATGATTTTGATATTTTCATCAAAATAATTTGGGCGTTGGGACTTGGATATGGGTACAGATAAAGAAAGATTGACAATAATGCTCCACCACTGCATACACACCAGTGGCTCCCCGCTGCCCTGTTGGTTTTCATTTGTCTGCACCTCACACCATCGCCCCACTAGTGTGCACTCTCTGGTGGCCCCCTACTTCAAGACATTCTCCTGTGGCACCCTGCCCCCACAACCAGAGCACTTTTGTCAACAGCCCCCATCAGAGTGTTTTGCCAGCAGTCTGGGAACACCCCAGTCCTTCCAGTGCAGAAAGTGTTTGACCTCGAGAGGTCAAAGAACAAAGCCATATGCCCAGTCCCAGTCCCCAAGGCATTAGCATGAAGCTCAGGAGTGCTAAGCTGAGGCTTGGCCTCCTGAAAGCATCCAGAAATGAAGTCAATCAACTAAACACAATTTATACTGCCTTCAAACCCTCAAGAACATCAAAGAATATAAAAGCAAATAGCTTCATCCAAAGGACAGCAATGTCAAAAAGTAAAGGAAAATCAGTGAACACAGATGAGAAAGAACCAGCACAAGAATTCTGGCAACTCTAAAAGCCAGAGTGTCTTCTTACCTCCACAAACTATCTCAATAACTCCCCCAGAAATGAAATGTCTGAAATGACAGACACAGAATCAGAATCTGGATGGCGGAGAAGCCCAGTGAGATACAGGAGAAGGTTGAAACCCAATCCAAGGAAACTAATAAAACGATAGAAGAGCTGGAAAATGACATTGCCATTTTAAGAAAAAAAAAAAAAAAATTGAACTTCCGGAAATTAAAAATTTGCTATAAGACTTTTATAATGCAATCGGAAGCATTAATTACAAAATAGATGAAGCTGAGAAAAGAATCTCAAAACTCAAAGACTGCTCCTTTGAATCAATGCAGGCAAAAAAAAATTAAGAATTTTTAAAAATGAAAAAACAAACCTCCAGGAAATATGGGATTATGTAAGAAGATCAAACCTATGACTCACTGGCATTTCTGAAAGAGATAGAGAACAAGCAACTTGGAAAACATATTTGAGGATATTGTCCACACAAATTTCCCCAACCTCACTACACAGGTAGGCATGCACATTCAGGAAATTCAGAGAATCTTTAAAATATACTAGAAAAGATAAGATATCTAGTCATCAGATTCTCCAAAGTCAACGCAAAGGAAAGAAATGTTAAAGGCAGCTACAGAGAAGGGCCAGGTTAAGTACAAAAGGAATCCCATCAGGCCAACAGTGAAACTTTCAGCAGAAACTTTACAAGTCAAAAGAGATTGGCGGCCTATATTCTGCAACTTTAAAGAAAAGAAACTTCAACCAAGAATTTCATATCCAACCAAACTAAGCTTCATAAGTGAAGGGGGAATAAAATCATTTTCAAACAAGCAAATGCTAAGGGAATCCATTACTATCAGTTATGTTTACAAGAGGTCCTAAAGGGAGCACTAAACATGGAAATGTAAGACCTGCCACCACAAAAACACACTTAAGTACATATCACATTGGTACTATAAAGCAACTATACAATCAAGTCTATATAACAACTAGCTAAGAACATGACAAGATCAAATCTTCACGTATCAATATTGACCTTGAAGATAAATGGGCTAAGTGTCCAACTTAAAAGGTACAGAGTGGCAAGTTGGATACAGAAGCAAAACCCAACTATACACTATATTCAAGAAATTCATCTCACATAAATTTTATATATATATATATATATATATATATATATATATATATATATATATATGTAGGCTGAAAGTAAAGGAATAGAGAACGATCACTCAAGCAAACAGAAAACAAAAAAATAAGAGGGGTTGCAATTCTTATTTCAGACAATACAGACTTTAAATCAGCAATGATCAAAAAAGACAAAGAGCATTGCATAATGATAAAAGTTTCCATTCAACAAGAAGACTTAACTCTCCTAAATACATACACTCCCAAATTGGAGATCCTAGATTCATAAAACAAGTTCTTAGAGACCTATGAAGAAGCTTAGATAACCACACAATAATAATGGGAGACTTCAACACTCCACTGACAGTATTGGACAGATCATTGAAGCAGAAAACTAACAAAGATATTTGAGACCTAACCTCAGCACTTAACCAAATGGACCTAACAGACATCAACAGAATACCCAACAACAACAGAATATACATTCTTCTCATCTGCATATGGCACATACTCTAAGATCGACCACATGCTTGGCCATGAAGCAATTCTCAACAAACTTAAAAACAACAAAATCATACCAATCACACTAGCAGAACACAGTACAATAGAAATAGAAATCAATACCAAGAAGAGCTCTCAAAACCATACAATTACATGGAAAGTAAACAAACTTGCTCCTAAATGACTTTCAGGCAAAGAGTGAAATTAAGGCAGAAATTTAAAAATTCTTTGAAACCAATGAAAACAAAGATTCAACATCACAGAATCTCTGGGACACGGCTAAAGCAGTTTTCAGAGAAAAGTTTATAGTGTTAAATGCCTACATCAAGAAGTTAGGAAGATCTCAAATTAACAAGCTAACATCACACCTAGAGGAACGAGGAAAACATGAGTAAACCAACCCCAAAGCTAGCAGAAGAAAAGAAAACCAAAATCAGAGCTGAACTGAAGGAAACTGAGATATGAAATCTGTACAAAAGATCAGCAAAATCAAAATTTGGTTCTTTCAAAAAATAAACAAGATTGATAAACCACTAACTAGATTAATAAATAAAAAAAAGAAGATCCAAATAAGCATAATCAGAAATGACAAAGGGGACATTAGAGATCCCAAAGAAATACAAGAACTCTAAAACACTATTAGGAATACCTTTATGCATACAAACTAAAAAATCTAGAAAAACATGGGTAAATTCCTAAAAACATACACTTCTGAAGATTGACCAACAAAGAAATATTTATCCTGAACAGATAAATAACAAGTTCTGAAACTTGATCAGTAATAAAAAAAATCCAGAAAATGCCGTAGATGAGACAGATTCATGGCTGAATTCTACCAGACATATAGAGAAGACCTGGTACCAATCCTACTGAAACTATTCCAAAAAGTTGAGGAGAAGGGACACCTCCATAACTCATTCTATAAGGCTAGCATCATTCTGATAACAAAAGCTGTCAGAGATACAATGAAAAAAGAAAACTTCAGGCCAATATGCCTGATGAACATAGACCCAAAAATCCTCAACAAAATACTAGCAATCCAAATCTAGCAGTGTATCAAAAAGTTAATCCACCATGATCCAGTAGACTTTATCCCTGGGATGCAAGGTTGGCTCAACATATGTAAATCAATAAATGTGATTCATTACATGAACAGAACTAAAAACAAAAACCACATGATCATCTCAATAGACTCAGAAAAAACTTTCAATAAAATTCCACATCCCTTCATGTTAAAACTCTCAACAAACTAGGCATCAAAAAAAATATCTCAAAATAGTAAGAACCATCTATGATAAACCCACAGCCAACATTATATTGAACAGGCAAAAGATGGAAGCATTTCTCTTAAGAAATAGAATAAGACAAGGATGCCCACTCTCACCACTTCTATTCAGTAAAGTCCTGGAAGTCCTAGCCAGAGAAATCAGATAACAGAAAGAAATAAAAGGCATCCAAATAGGAAAATAAGAAGTCAAAATTATCCTTCTTCACCAATAATAAGATTCTATATTTAGAAAACCCTAAATATTCTTTCAAAAAGTTCCTGGACCTGATAAACAACTTCATTAACCTTTCAGAATACAAACCAAATGTGCAAAAATAAGTAGCATATCTGTATACCAATAATGTCCAAGCTGAGAGCCAAATCAAGAATTCAATAACAACAGTTACAAAAAAAAAAAAAAAAAAACACCTTGTAATACAGCTAACCAGGGAGGCAAAAGCTCTGTGCAATGAGAATTACCAAACTCTGCTGAAAGTAATCAGAGATAACAAAAACAAATGAAAAAGCATTCTATGCTCATGAATAGGAAGAATCAATATTGTTAAAATAGCCATATTGCCCAAAGCAATTTACAGATTCAATGCTATTTCTATCAAAATATCAACATCATTTTTCATAGAATTAGAGAAAACTATTATAAAATTCATATGGAACCAGAAGAGAACCTGAATAGCCAAAGCTATCCTAAGCAAAAAGAAAAAAGCAGGAGGCATCACACTACCTGTCTTCAAACTATGCTACAAGGCTAGAGTACACCAAAGCAGCATGGTACTGCTGGAAAAGGTTAGATAACCCAGAAATAAAGCCACACACCTACGACCATCTGATCTTCAACAAAGTTGACAATAACAAGCAGTGGGGAAAGGACTCCCTATTCAGTAACTGATTCTGGTATAACTGGCTAGCTATATGTGGAAGACTGAAACTAAACCCCTTCTTTTCACCATATATAAAAACCAGCTCAAAATGAATTAAATTCTTAAATATAAAACCTAAAACTCTAAAAGAAAACCTGGGAAATACCATTTTGGACATAGGCTTTGGCAAAGATTTCATGATGAAGTTTCCAAAAGCAATGGCAGCAAAAGAAAAAATAAACAAGTAGGACCTAATTAAACTAAAGAGCTTCTGCACAGCGAAAGAAACTGTCAACAGAGTAAACAGATAATCTACAGAATGGGAGAAAATATTTGCAACCTATGCATCCAGTAAAGGTCTAATATCCAGAATCTGTAAGGAACTTAAATCAAAAGGCAAAAAACAAACAACCTCATTTAAAAAAATGGGCAAAGGACACGAACAGGCACTTCTCAAAAGAAGACATATACAAGGCCAACAAGCTTATAAAAAAATGCTCAATATTGCTAATCATTAGAGAAATGCAAATCAAAACCACAACAAGATACCATCTCACACCAGTCAGAATGGCTATTATTAAAAAGTAAAAAATAAATAACAGGAGTTAGCAAGGCTGTAGAGAAAGGAGAATGTTTATACACTGCTAGTGAGAATATAAATTAGTTCAGCCATTGTGGAAAGCAGTTTGAAGATTTCTCAGAGAACTTAAAGCAGAACTACATTTAATCCAGCAATCCCATTATTGGGTATATTCCCAAAGGAATATAAATCGTTCTACCAAAGACATACGCACTTGTATGTTCATCACAACACTATTCACAATAGCAAAGACATGGAATCAACCTGGATGCCCATCAATGATGGACTGGCTAGAAAAAAAAGTGATACAGATACACCAGTGAATACTAAACAGCTATTTAAAAAAAATGAAATCATGTCATTGGCAGCAACATGGATGCAGCTGGAGGCCATTATCCTCAGAGAATTAGCACAGAAACAGAAAACCAAGTACTACAGGTTCTTTTTTATAAGTGGAGTGGAAGCTGCACATTGAGTACAAATGGACAGAAAGATGAGAACAATAGACATCAGGGCCTACATGAAGTGAGAACCCGGTAGAAAGGTGAGGGTTGAAAAACTACCCATCAGGTACTATGCTCACTACCTGGGTGATGAAATCATTTGTACACCAAACACCAGCAACACATAATTTACCCCTGTAACAATCCTGTACATGTACCCCTGAACCTAAAATAAAAATTGAAAGAAAAAAATTGACAATAAGTTGAGAATCATTGAAGCTGAGTAATGAAGACAGTGGGAAGTTCATTATCTTAGTTTTTTTAATTTTTAATTTTTGTGGGTACATATATTAGTCTCTCTCTTTGTAAATGTTTCCATTTTCCATAGTGAAAGGGTTTTTATATTTTGATGTCATTGATAATGTTTAGAGAACTGACCCATAATTTTCTGTGTGTATAATGTTTTCATCATCTAAATTTTAGTTTAGATCCAAACCTCAGGGAAAAAATACACAGACAATAATGACAATAATATAGATATAAATAGTAATTAAATTTGAATCTCCTTTTGAATGCTACAAAGCCATTATTTCTACTTAATTCTTTATTTAATTCAATTTTATTTTTTTAATAATCATAAAATTCCAGTAGATTTTGGTAATCATGAAAGATAAAACTTTATGATTTTTTATAATTAGCCCAGAAATAAATGCCAGTAGAGAATTAAGATTTAAAATAATAATAAAACAAAATAAAGTTAAGTTCATCAAACTGCAGGTATATTTCCTCTATAAAAAAAGAAAGCATGTCATATGACTATGAACTTGCATGTCCAAAACAATTAATGAAAACCAAATCTGTTAGCATTTTATAACAAAATCAAAGCTACCCTAACCATCTTCATTTAAAAGCTAACATTCCTTCCTATCTTCCCTGTTTCTTTCAAGTGAATGACTTTTTTCAGTTGCAACCTAAAAAGTTGGCATAATCTGTAATCTCTTTTCTCACTTCAAATGACTTTACCAAATCATTTCCATGCCCAATACATTCTTTGAAATATCCCCCACCTTCCTCTCTCCCTGATGAATTCTCCCCATTTTCTCAAAGCATATGATTCTCTTGATATGCACAGATGCATTGTTCTCTCCTAGAATTTATCCAAGTTGATAATTTTATCTACCAAAAAAGGGTTTATTAATTTTATCTACAAAAAAATAGTAAGTTTCATGAGAACAGGTGTTATGTCTGCTTTGCTCCTCACTGACTTTCTAGTATTTAATAGAATGTCTAGCACAAATTAGACTTTCAAGGAAGTAAGGAAAAAGAGAAGTTAGGAAGAGGAAAAGGAAAGAAGTGAGAAGGGGAGAGAAAAGGAGGGAGGAAGGGATAAAGAAAGAGAGGGAAGAAGGAAGAAAGGGAAATTAGGAGGAAAAAAAGAAGGAAAAAAGGGAGAGAAGAGAGGAAGAAACAAATTGAGAGAATAAAGAAGGAGGAAGGGAAGGAAGGAGATAGACTGCAGAGGGAAGGACAAAGGAAGAAGGGATTCTTTTCATTCCCTCCCCCTGTCACTCCTAAAAGCATATTCTCAAGATTCTTTGGGCCTTAAATGTACCTAGTACAACATTTTTTCAACTCCTCCAACGCATACACAATCAAAACTTCAATACTCTGAAAAGTTCCCACCAAGCTGTAGTCTAATTATGTTTGAATTACTGCAATCAAGAGAAATCCACTACCTTACAAAGCAATTCAGTCCATTGGCAAGGAACCCACATCATTTGAAAGTTTTTCCCCCAAATGAAGCCAAGGCACTTCCCACTCTGTAGTTTCCAGTCTTTAGTCTTGATCCTAGAGTCTGGCAATACACCACACACACACACACGCACACACACACACACACACACACATGCACTTTTTCTTTCAGAGGAGAGCAGTTCCTATTTTTGAATGCTAGGATAATTGCCATATATCTACTGAGTCTACCAATCTGGAACCTAAATATATCAAACATTTCTCATGAGATGGTCCTGAGTTATCTGGTTATCTTGGTCAGTTTTTTTTTTAATCACATATTGATTTGGTCAATATTTCAGTGTGGTTTCTAGAACTGATAACATTTTAAGTATGGCTGAGCTATTATAAATAAATGAATGGTGCTCAGACAAAGGAGATGCATCTCCATCTTTTCTCACCACCTCATTCTAAGAATTTTAATTAATAATACATTCACAAAATTTATTGATAGTTATAATTACCATAGCCTTTTTTGCATCAATGACTTAATACTCTACTTGTTGTTAAATTAGACATCTAACTTATTTCTCTATCTCCAATTGATTCCCCATTTTAACCTATGTAGCCAGGTCAATATTCTTCTAACAGAAGCTTAAACGATCATTTCCCTGGTAAAAATGAATAAACAATCCCAATGTTCAAATTTGACTCAATAAAGTACTAAATTTTATTGGAAAGACCTTACGAATCATGCTTCCACTCTTAGTTTTGTGAATTTCCATAAAGTACTCTCTGGAGTTCTCTCACTAGAAAAAGGTCAAGGTACATCCTTCCATTCCACTAAGTCTGAGAATAATACATCTGAACTCATTTTCACTTCATCGTGAGGACTTCAAATTTACTCTTCTTATTACATGTACATCTTGCACTGTTATATAAATTTCTGAGGACATAAATAGTATCCCCAACCCTGTTCCTCCTGAGAATTACATCCTCCTGAGAATTATTCAACATCTCTCTCCATAACTCTTCCTTTTTTTTAATGTCATATTCATTATCCCATATAGCATCTAGTTTAATAGTGATATGGGAAAATTGAATTTCAATTTAAAATCCCCATATGACCACTGTTATCAAACTCACATAGTACCATGGGAGGCATCTTTACATTCCTTCTCTTCACCGGAGGTCCTTTATCTAATATAAACTGCAAGATAAACTATCAAAGCCCCTTTTGCAGCACATAAACATGAGCCAGTTTTTCTATTCTCATTGTTAAAATGCCTCAGCATGGTGTCAGTCCCTCCACGGTTAAGGCCTAACATGTATCTACAAACATCCCCCTACATGCACCTCCTCTCCAGCCAGCCTGATGATCCTGATGCTTCCCCCAAATACAATGATCATTTTCCTGTTAGGTCCCAACCAGCCTTCACAGAGTAGCCCACCAACTCCCTGTTGTTTCATCTAGAAGACATAAAACTTTTTAAAGTATATGTTGCTGCACAGTTGAACCATTTATGCATCATTAATTTGGGTTTATATGTTGATTTTGTAATTTTTAAATTATCACTGAAAATTACAAATTTCTTAATGGCAATAATTATTTCTCCTTATTTATACATGTCATCATGCCTAATAAAGTGCTCTGCACACAGCAGATACTAAAGGTACTAAAAATATACTGAAAGTGAAATTGATGGAACTGAGAACGTTCACAAAAAATTATAGTTGATTTCCAAATGTATAAGTCAAATATTGAGGAAAAAATATACAAAAATAATACACAGATAGATTTACATGAAACTAAAATATTACTAGTCCCTAAGAAAATGAAGCACTAAATTTTTTCCTGAACCAATAAAGTCAGATAACCCAATTGTAGAAGAGGAGATAGAAGTATACTAAGTTTATTCATCTGGGAAATAAATTGGATTAACTGTAGGTCCTTGTCAAAATGTCAATTCTTATAAAATGATAAAAAATACATATTACAATGTTTCCACCAGGTTTTTGCTTCTATGCCTTTCCATGGATAAATATGGCCATATGTCTATATGCAATTATATTCACCTTATTCCAGAAAAGAACATTAGAGTTCTTTTCAATAGCATGCCATTATTCTTTTGTGTGAATAATTCATGACTTATTATACATTTAAAATGAATTAAAGTCCTGACAAGTATATTTTCTACATTGTTAATAATGAAAACGAAGCCCTCAAAGCTCTATCTAAATCACATTTTGATCTGGTAAATTAAGGCACACAACCACCATCACAACAAATAATAGTACCTTCAGAAACTGAACCAGAGCTAAGGCTCATCTGTGTGTTGTTAACACTATTAACAGGAACCACCCTTTATTGGTGCTGCCAGATGCCACATGCTCTGTCTCTATAGCTCTTTTATTTTCATAATAACTCTGTGCAATCACTATGTTTATCCTCATTTTAAATATAAGGAGAGGAAAGCTGTAACTTCAATAACTTGCCCAAATATATACAAAGAGAAAACACAGAATTAGGATTCAAACCGAGGACCAAGTCTACCTATCTCCAACTCTGAATTCAACTTCTGCCATATGACATCTTTTTAAAATAAGATTTAGTTTGCAAAGGGAAAGGGTGCAGAAGAAAAAGCCTATGATTTGTTGAGTAGTTGTTACTTACTTGCATGGATGGATGGGTAGATGGACGGATGGATATATGGATGGATGGATGGATGGATGGATGGATGGATGGATGAATGAATGAATTGACAAATAGATGATAGATAATTACACAGATAGTTATATTTAAAACTTTTAATAACTATGTAAGATAGAGTTTATCACCATTTTATATAGATATAACATTTAGCTAATATGCCCAATGTCACCCACATAAAAATTTGGGGACGAGAAACAAAATGGTTTTCTTGTGATGTTCCAAAATCTTCCCTCTCTCCACTCTGCCACACAACCTCATGAGTAACAAAGAAGGGTGAAAATAATCTGAAGCCATTTGGCTCAAAAGCCAAAAATGGCAAAAATCTGTGTTCAACTGACATTCCTACATTTCAGTAAAACTAGTTCAAGAGAAAAGAAAGATTTACTGTTAGTAAAAATACATTAAAAACTACAGTCATGAGAATTCCATTCTTATATCAAATAGTGCAAGAATACACATTCATTTCAGAAAAGAATGTATTCATATGCACCATATTTTATGAGAATTTGCAGATTTTAAAAGGCATAATATTGCCTAGTTGCCAGAATTTTTTCCACTTAGCATCCTTCAGCTCTGTATTGAAGATTCTGGAAAACACTTTCACCACTTTATGAACCATATGCAGAGTTTGATTCTTCTCCAATTTTTTTTTCATTTGTTATTATCATCATCAGGAAGGATTACATCTCATCTACTTAGCTGCTAGAATGAAGATTTCAGTTTGGAAGAGAGCCGATTTCTTTAAAAAAAAAAAAGTTAGCTGCTTCAGGCAACAGTCCTTTTGATCTGCTCATTAACACTTTTCAAATGTTCAAGTGATATGGGCATTCTTTGCGCTAAAAAATGTCAGCACTGGAGCCTGCAGCCAGCTTGATGCAATCATATGTTCCAATATTCAGAAAAGAGTGAAAAGAACTGTCAACATTGAATTGCCTTGGATTAAAAAAAAAAGATATTGTACAATGACTGTAGACTAAGTAGTATTTCAGAACTGATTTTTGCCAGTGACAAAAAAAATGCCCAATTTATCGGCAATGTCATCTAGGTGCCTAGGGACCCACAGACAATAGAGAAACATTCTTAGTATTTACAAGAATTTCTTTAAAATATATGGGGGTCTTCCTTTCATTCTCCCTTTTCTTTTTGATAAGATCAGAGAGGAAGTAAAATGCCTTTCTTTTGACATACAAAAACACAAAGTTCTTACATTACTGCTTGTGAAGTCCTTCTTTTCTGAATCCCACAAAGTATCTAACTTCAACATCTAGCCTTCAACATCCTGACCAAAATATGATTCAAGTTATCTCATCCTCTGCTTTTTATTTCTTCCTCGACAAACTCATCAATGATCAAATAATTCTACTTTGAACAAGTAAATAAGTAGCCTGAAATCTGGACAATAAATATAATTTAGAATGCTAAATGAGAACTAAGAAGAACAGTGTGAGAGTGTATTCTGCCAGGAGTTAAGTAAAGGTGCTTCTGTCAAAGCAAATAAACTGAGACCAGGATGAGTTTGATACTGTCTCGTAAAAGATGCTCTGTCGGAAAGCATCACCATGAAAGCATGAAAGACCTAACATCACACTCTATTTCAAGAAGGCAACCAAACATAAATCATTTTAATTAATGGTGTAAGGAAGGTATATTAAAATTTAAATTACTTATATTTTATTGTGCATTCCAAAAAAGAAATCAGGCTGCTCTCAAAGTACCTCAATAAAGGTACCAGGAGCCCTTCTCAACAATAAAAACAAGTGCAATGTACAGCATTATTACTATTTAGAAAAGAACAGCACAGCTGTTGCTGGCTAACAAAATGATTCTATAGAGTTCCAGCTAGACATATCATCATCGCGTGAGATCAACTAACTTATAGGCAAATTGGGCTTTAAAAACATAAAAAAGACCATTTGTAAATGGTATTTTAAATTAAGATCTATGAGATCTTTATGTAACGTCTTAAATGCACTAAAGAAAAATGAATTTGCAATTTTCCCTTGAGGCTGCAGAACATTGGCCAAGGACACTAAAGCAAGTGAACATTTGTCATTTTCAGCATATTCAGGTATTATTTGCAGCTATATAACACAATCTAACTGACAACACTACAGAAAGCCTTTGTTTGCCACCTCATCTGTAATTCATCTGGACTGTCTGGTTACCCCAAACTATGCAACTATAGGACTGTCATTTCTCCTATCCTGATTAGTAAAACAAATTTGCTCTTAACTCAAAATATCCCCTAATCTAAACAATGATGAAAACATCCATAATTTCTGATGTCACTAACAATTCAAAACAGGATAAGTTTTGTTTTAATGCCTCCTGCCTTTTTAACCTAGGGAAAAAGACAGGATGCTGATGACGGCTTTGTTAAAGAAAGGCAGTTATAGAGGATGGATATGAGGAAGGATACTCAATGAACAGGATACAGACTCTTAAACAGATGTTAAGACATAACCTCACAAAAAATGAGAACTCTTCCCTTCATGGAACAGTTTGAAAACTCAACACAATCTATCATTCACTAATGGTAGTGCCTAAATATTCAAATTTACATGAGGCTCCTTTTTTATAAGGCTTGCTAGATAAAGGTCTCCAAATATCATTGGTTTAGATTTATACTTTTGTATGGAAAGCCCACGCACACAGAGGACACTATCTGCAACATTTAGATTACATCACATCTCTCTGTCATTCTTGAAAAGACTCTTTAGTATGAACTGAAAGATTTAAAATTTAAAAATAGTCTCTTATTAAAAGCATCTTGGCTGACCAGATCTTCTATGGCAGGAGTTTTTCCTTAATCTTTTTTATTATATGCCCCTTGATATGGTTTGGCTCTTTGTCCCCACCCAAATCTCATCTCGAATTGTAATCCCCATAATCCCCACGTGTTGAGGGAGGGACCTGGGTGAGAGGTGACTGAATCATGGAGGCGGTTTTCCCCATGCTGTTCTCATGATAGTGAGCTCTCACAAGATCTGATTATTTAATGAGGCAGTTTCCCCTCCTCTTACTAGGCCTCTCTTTCCTTCTTCATGAAGAAGGTCTTTGCTTCCTCTTCACCTTCTGCCATGATTGTAAGTTTCCTGAGGCCTCCCCAGCTATGCAGAACTGTAAGTCAATTAAACCTTTCTTTATAAATTACCCAGTTTCAGGTAGTTCTTCATAGGAGTGTAAAAATGGACTACTACACCACTCCTTAGCAGTCTGGTGAATCTATCCCATAATAATTATTCTAAATTAAAATGTATAGAATTTAAAGGACCCCAATCATATTGAAATGTAATTTTCAAATTTATTTTTTAAAATATGAGATATGGAAATATGTATGTTTCTTTATTAACTCATTAAGTAATAAGCTCTTGTAATAAGTTTAGAAACTATCATAATTTTAAAGTAGCAATGCCTGTAAAACACATTTCAAAGATATCTGAATAGTAGTCAGTAGTTATGGTGCATGCCTATATTCCCCACTACTTGGGAGGCTGAAGCTGAGGCAGGAGGATCCCTTAAGCCGAGGAGTTCTAGGCTGCAGCAAACTATGATCATGTCACTGCACTCCAGCCTGAGTGACAGAGAACCTGACTCAAAAAAAAATCTGAGCAACTATAAATATGATATGGGATACATGTGATTGCTACTGGTGACAGTTTTCACAACTGCTAATATTTTTGTGGGCAGGGTAAAAAAATCAATGACAAAAACGATAAATTTCAGTTGGAAGAAAAAAGAAAGATATATATTTTTTTCCACATAAATTCACAATTCTTAGGTGAGGCATCCCTGTGGGGTATATGTAGCAGCAACTAGACAAAAGTTGAACTGCTTCTACTTCAGAGTTTCATTATAATTAATAAATTCTTATGTAGTTGTATCTTAGTTCCTACTAAAAATGATTACAAAGGCCACATTTCCCATTGTATATATATTATGAGAAACAAATTTTAAATGAAGTCAATGAAAATTATATCAAGAGTGATTGTATCATAAATTTCCTCAAGCACAATACTTCTCCATAATTGACAGAATTTTTTACTATAACTAGCAAAAAGGTACTCTATTTTGAATTTGATTTCCAAGTAAAGCAATATCAATTTTCTCAATTTTAAGAATTGGGATAGGTGAAGAAGATGCATTCAATAATAAGTATTCACCATGCAACATGCCTGGTTTACAATGATAGGTAGAATACACACAGTACCTGCCTTCATGAAATTATTAGTCTATAAGGGGAGAGAGATTTTAAACAAATAATACATAAATCATTATCTAATTGTAATTTTACTTAAGCATCACCAAAAGGGTAACATTTGCTCACCTGACAGGATAATGTTATAAGAATTTTGGCTAAAAATTTAATATAAAACATCATAGAAGGGATGTTTCTGACTTTGACATGTTTCTTTTTCCTGATATAAAACTGGTACAGCTAACCAGGTAAACGTCATAGTTTCACAGACACAGTAATTAGTCAAATGTTCAAATTCTTTGCTTTCCTCCATAGAGTGAAGGTCAATTTCTAGCTTTTAAGAGGTTCAATAGTTCAATATCTGAATATGAATGAAACTGTGCTGGCTCCTCTAGCAAATCATATCACCCCTGAGGAAGCTGTCCATGGATCTCTGTTGTCAAATGATTCTAATAACATATATGCGTGAGGCACTTCTGAAAATTGTAAACCCGTCTCTTCCAAAAATCCCTTGTTGCTCTAAGATTGTAAGTAAATTCTACTCAGTATATGAAGCATTATGCATATTAACTTCAAAGTTACAAAACAGAGGGGTTATTCTAATTTTAAAGGATGCATATTGGTTTCAATAGCCTTGGTACCATTGCAAATTTTTTTTTATTATACTTTAAGTTTTAGGGTACATGTGCACATTGTGCAGGTTAGTTACATATGTATACATGTGCCATGCTGGTGCGCTGCACCCACTAACTCGTCATCTAGCATTAGGTATATCTCCCGATGCTATCCCTCCCCCCTCCCCCCACCCCACAACAGTCCCCAGAGTGTGATATTCCCCTTCCTGTGTCCATGTGATCTCATTGTTCAATTCCCACATTCTGAGTAAACTATCACAAGAACAAAAAACCAAACACCGCAAATATTTTAAAGAATATTTCATTGCCTCTTATTTTGCAATTGCTTGTACCCTATAAAAAGTTCAGGGTTGAAAAAAATGTATATTCTGTTGATTTGGGGTGGAGAGTTCTGTAGATGTCTATTAGGTCCGCTTGGTGCAGAGCTGAGTTCAATTCCTGGGTATCCTTGTTAACTTTCTGTCTCGTTGATCTGTCTAATGTTGACAGTGGGGTGTTAAAGTCTCCCATTATTATTGTGTGGGAGTCTAAGTCTCTTTGTAGGTCACTCAGGACTTGCTTTATGAATCTGGGTGCTCCTGTATTGGGTGCATATATATTTAGGATAGTTAGCTCTTCCTGTTGAATTGATCCCTTTACCGTTATGTAATGGCCTTCTTTGTCTCTTTTGATCTTTGTTGGTTTAAATTCTGTTTTATCAGAGACTAGGATTGCAACCCCTGCCTTTTTTTGTTTTCCATTTGCTTGGTAGATCTTCCTCCATCCTTTTATTTTGAGCCTATGTGTGTCTCTGCACGTGAGATGGGTTTCCTGAAAATGGCCATACTGCCCAAGGTAATTTATAGATTCAATGCCATCCCCATCAAGCTACCAATGACTTTCTTCACAGAATTGGAAAAAACTACTTTAAAGTTCGTATGGAACCAAAAAAGAGCCCGCATCACCAAGTCAATCCTAAGCCAAAAGAACAAAGCTGGAGGCATCACGCTACCTGACTTCAAACTATACTACAAGGGTACAGTAACCAAAACAGCATGGTACTGGTACCAAAACAGAGGTATAGATAAACGGAACAGAACAGAGCCCTCAGAAATAATGCCGCATATCTACAACTAACCGATCTTTGACGAACCTGACAAAAACAAGCAATGGGGAAAGGATTCCTTATTTAATAAATGGTGCTGGGAAAACTGGCTAGCCATGTGTAGAAAGCTGAAACTGGATCCCTTCCTTACACCTTATACAAAAATTAATTCAAGATGAAATAAAGACTTAAACGTTAGACCTAAAACCATAAAAACCCTAGAAGAAAACCTAGGCATTACCATTCAGGACATAGGCATGGGCAAGGACTTCATGTCTAAAACACCAAAAGCAATGGCAACAAAAGCCAAAATTGACAAACGGGATCTAATTAAACTAAAGAGCTTCTGCACAGCAAAAGAAACTACCATCAGAGTCAACAGGCAACCTACAAAATGGGAGAAAATTTTTGCAACCTACTCATCTGACAAAGGGCTCATATCCAGAATCTACAATGAACTCAAAAAAATTTACAAGAAAAAAACCAACAACCCTATCAAAAAGTGGGTGAAGGACATGAACAGACACTTCTCAAAAGAAGACATTTATGCAGCCAAAAAACACATGAAAAAATGCTCACCATCACTGGCCATCAGAGAAATGCAAATCAAAACCACAATGAGATACCATCTCACACCAGTTAGAATGGCAATCATTAAAAAGTCAGGAAACAACAGGTGCTGGAGAGGATGTGGAGAAATAGGAACACTTTTACACTGTTGGTGGGACTGTAAACTAGTTTAACCATTGTGAAAGTCAGTGTGGCCATTCCTCAGGGATCTAGAACTAGAAATACCATTTGACCCAGCCATCCCATTACTGGGTATATACCCAAAGGACTATAAATCAGGCTGCTATAAAGACATATGCACACGTATGTTTATTGCGGCACTACACACAATAGCAAAGACTTGGAACCAACGCAAATGTCCATGAATGATAGATTGGATTAAGAAAATGTGGCACATATACACCATGGAATACTATGCAGCCATAAAAAATGATGAGTTCATGTCCTTTGTAGGGACATGGATGAAATTGGAAATCAGCATTCTCAGTAAACTATCGCAAGAACAAAAAACCAAACACCGCATATTCTCACTCATAGGTGGGAATTGAACAATGAGAACACATGGACACAGGAAGGGGAACATCACACTCTGGGGACTGTTGTGGGGTGGGGGGAGGGGGGAAGGATAGCTTTAGGAGATATACCTAATGCTAAATGACAAGTTAATGGGTGCAGCACACCAGCATGGCACATGTATACATATGTAACTAACCTGCACATTGTGCACATGTACCCTAAAACTTAAAGTATAATAATAATAAAATAAAATAAAATAAAAAGAAAATGGACAAAATACATTTAGAGCCATTTCACCAAAGATATAAGCAAATAATGGCAGATAAGCACACGAAAACATGTTCCTCACTAGCTGTTATAGAAACTCAAATTAAAACCACGATGAGATATCATTACATACCTATTAGAATGGCAATAATAAAAATAGAGAAAACACCAAATGCTGAAAATCTGAAGGAGCAACTGAATCACTCATTCATTGTTAGTGGGCATGTGAGATGGTACCACCACTCTGGGTAACAGTTTGGCAGTTTCCCATAAAACTAGATATACAACTACTTTATAACTCAGGAGTCACAGATGGCATTTACCTAGAAAAATGAAAACTTAAGTTTATGTAAAAACCTGTACATAAATGTTCATAGTAGCTTTATTCATAATAGGGAAAACCTATAAACAACCTAAATGTTTTTCAACAGGTGAATAATTCAACAGACTGTGGTACATCTACACCATTAATTACTATGCAGCAGTAAAAACAGAGTGGACTACGACTACACACAGAAGCTTGGGTGGATCTCGGGAATTATGCTGAATGAAAAAAAGCCAGTCTCAAAATATTACATGCTGTATGATTCCATTTATATAACATTTTTGAAATAAAAAAATTATGAAAAAAAATAAAATAAAAAAATAAAAAGTTCAGGGTTTTTGTTTTCTTTTCTTTTTTGTAATGAGTTTGTCTGAAAACATAAAAATTCCCCAACTCTGGGGAATATCAGAAAATTCAGGAGATAATATAGGTTTCTTCTTGCTGCTATAACAAATTATCATACACTTAGTGTCTTAAAACCACAGAAACTTTTTTTTTATACTTCTGGAAGTCTGGAGTCTGAAGTGAGTCTTACAGGGTTAAAAATCAGGTGTTGGCCAAGCTGGTTCTTCCTGTAGGCTCTAGGGATGGATTTGTTTCTTGCCTCTTCCAGCTTCTAGTGGCTGCCAGCATTCCTTGGCTTGTGGCTGCATCACTCCAATTTCTGCATCTATGGTTACACTGCCTTCTTTCCATCTATAGTCTAATCTCCCTCTGTCTCCCTTTTATAAGGCTTGGACTGCATTTATGACCCATCTAGATCATCCTGAATAATGTCAAGATTTTTAATTTAATCACATCTGTAAAGTCCCTTTTGCTATATCAGGTAACATTACAAGGTTCCAGGGATTGAGACCTGCATGTCTTTAGGGATCTTTATTCACTTTATTGAAGGAGGCTTTTTCAAACTGCATGACCTCTGGAGCTGCCTCAGTCTACCCAAACCCACTTCCTCTCCAGGAGAATTACCACCATTGGAAACCTGACAGCCACTGTTCTGAAAGACTTGCTGTTGAGGCAGAAAAAAGAAAAAAAAAACCTGAGAATCTCTGTCTAAAATATAAGTAACATTGTCATCACTGACTCATTGATTAGAGGTCTATGAGATTTTAAACTCTGGATAACAAGTGATTCAATCATGTTATAAAATATGACTTAATATTTCATATTTTGGCATTTTATAAAACATGAAATGACTGAATGAAGAATATGTGACAGATATTGAGATTTCTATTCAGGGAGTTTTCTTTCCATGTTCTCTGTATTGATAAGAGCTCCTGAGCATACGATGCTCATGGAGGTGGATAGCTGACACACCATAAATGTGCCTGAGAATAGACATTTTAAGCTCTTTAGTCATGTTTCAGTTGAAAGATTAGATTTAAATATTTGCCACTAGTTCTTAAAACATATTCAAGCAAAAAGAAATTTGCACAACACCACGCTGATAAATAGATAAATTTCATTTTCTATTAAAAAGTTCATTGCTAGGAATGACAGTCAAAGTCATATTGATCTCCAATAATTTAACGCTACTAAGAATTATTTAAATGGTCACATCCTAATTTCAGCATTGCACAAATATATAACCTAAAAGAAACAAAATAAGATAAACACCCTGCGATTGTATTATAATACCCTCTGAAAACTCAAGATCCTTTTCCACAAGGTTATTGTCACACTACCTCCTTTTTACATCATGTCTTCATTTTTCTCTAGCTCACTTAATTTCAGCTTGAGATTCCAGCTGTCTATACTTTGTTAGAAGTACTTTGTTCTGGCTATATTTAAGGTGCAATATCTGTCACTGCCTTTCCATTTCCATTGTTAATGGAACTCAGTTGGATACAGTCTTAAATAATTTTTGCCAGGACTAGACTTTAGCACTACTGTGAAGCCAGCAAAGTTTCTTTCAGGTAATTAGACTGATCGAATCTCTCCAGTGGCTTCTCGTCATCCCTGGGAAGAGATCAGACTTTCTATTACAAGACATAGGAGGTCCTCCCCTATGGGTTCATGCCAAAATCCAAACCATCATTCACCTAGCACAGTAGGTCTCAGCCTAGCACTTCTGAAAACATGTCAGAATAACTCATGATTCCACATGCACTTCATCTGAAATGTCATTCAAGAACTGTCAACATCTTATTCATGACTCAGAACTGAATTGGGAGTCATCAGGTCAGTCAGGTTTCTCTGAAATGCTCCCTTTAGTCTTGGCAAACCCTTCCTCCTTTATGTTTCTACTGTTCTTTACACACGCCGCTATTAGGACTTCAGTTACCTTCCATTTACACTTATTTGCACACATTTCTATGTTTCCATATTAAAATGTGAATTTCCATATCATATTATAAGCACTTTTGTATCCCCAGTTCCTAGCACAGTACTGACACCTACTAGATAATCAATATTAGCCAAGGGCTGAATTCAGAATTTCACCTCTCCTTTCTTCCTGCTTTAAAATCTACTTTAGAAAACGTTTGCTATCATTCACTTATATGTAGGTATAAATATAAGTTCATACTTATATGAACTTATAAGGGCTAATTGCTTTTTAATCTATATTTCTAAGGGTAAAATAAAGGAAGTTTCCTCTATTAAATAAGTTCAGGAAATTAATAAGCATTTGTGATGTTTCTGAGGACGGGAAGCCTTTCTGACATCCTGATACTCCACCATTAAAGGGCTCCCTTTATGCCTCGTAGAAAGTAACTCCATGATTTGAGATCTGTAGAGTCCAAGGCTTTAGAGTACCATGTATCTAGTCTCTGATCTAGTCACCTGATGATTGGCTCCTCTCCTTAATATCCAAAATGACAGTCAAAACCCATATTTGAGCACATTTCATTTTGCATATGTCTTTTTAAAAATCATACACTTTGACACTTCTGAGCCCTCTGGTCAATACTAAATGAAATTGCAAAGTGATAATTTAAAAAAAGGAGGGGAAATGCACCACTGCAAAGTTTAAATTAAAAAACCAAGGAGCACAAATTACATTAGGGCATCTTTTTGCTTTTTAATGTGATACTCAAGAATGCTAGCCACCCTAAAATAGCCATAACTAGATAATCAAGATTACAACAGGAAACTGAGCATAAATTGCTATGGCAGGAAACTGATTAGTTCAGCAAAGAGACAGGATGCGTCTTGTCTCTACTGTTATCTGAGTTAATTCTATGCCTCCTCCATGGGCCAACTGCTCTGAGATAAAGGATTGTCAAGTTGCCTCATGAAAGCAAACTGAAGTACAACTAATAATAAACGCAGGGCTAAAACAAAGCACATCTGAAATTGCAAGGATGATGAAATCAGTCAGCAAACATGAGAGCGGCGGGAAAAGGCAGTCTTGCAGTATTATGTAAAACATTACCATGAACTACACAATATTAAGTTCTACACAATGTGCTTATAATAAAAGGAATATTCTCAAAATAAATAGTAGGCATGATTTGGAAGAGGGCTTCCTTAAGATAATTTTTTTTCTATGAAACCTGAACAATCTAAATTGGATTGCTTGAAATGTGTAGAATGATACCCCCCACCAACATCTCCATAACTTAATTACCTGGTACTGTGAATATGTTATCTTAATGGCAAAAGGGATTTTGCAGAAGTGATTAAGGTTCAGGATCTTGAGATGGGAGATGATCCTGGATTAGCTAAGTGCGTCCAATCTAATCCCATGGTTCCTTAAAACTGGAGGACCTTTCCCAGCTGGGTTCAGAGTTAGAGGGAGATGTGACTACAGAAAAATGGTTGAAAAGATGCAACACATCTGGCTTTGCAGATAGAGAAAGGGGGGTATGAGGCAAAGAATCTGAGTAGCCTTTAGAAGCTGGAAAAGGCAAAGGAATGGCTTCTTCCTTAGAGCATTCAGAAAGAAACACATCCCTTCCAACACATTTTAGTCCACGTAAACCCAGTGAGACTCATGTGAAAGCTGTGATTAGACAGCTGTTAGATAATAAATTTGTGTTGCTTTTAGTCAACATATGTGTGGCAATTTGTTACAGCAGCAATAGATAACTGATATACACCCATATTCTTTCACAGGCTTTATACAAACACAAAAAATGACACAAACTGAAACTCCTCGTCATTACTCCAAAAGTAGCAGTTTAACAGATATGCTGACAATTGTGCATGACTAATTTCCGAACAAATATTTTTCAGTAGCAAACAGAGAAGGTCATGAAATGGTAGACCCTTCAAAGAGGAAATGAATAATTAAATGAGCACTTAAAAAAACTGACAAATTATCAACTCCTCTCAATGAACCCAAAAGAAAACATCATTCAATTTACTTGAATTTCTCTTGCACTTGAATGAAAATACCCTTTATCCCAACTACTTCCCCTATTTTTCTCTCCTCCTCTTCCCACAAACCTGATTTAAAAGTGCTTTTTAGATGAATTTTTTAAATAAATATTTACTGACCTGCATGTTTTCTAGAATTTATTATAGTAGTGAAGACAATTAAAATTCATTTTGCAAACTGAAACTTTGCTGTTATTAACATGGCATTTATTCATATTTCAGACCTTACTTTACATCTTTCTAATTTTTTTTAAGTAGAGTTGTAAATCCTTCTTACTCACCACTTTGCAGCAAAGGGGCCAAAACCACCACATCAAACCGATCCCCAGGAGTAGCAGTAACACCAAAATAACAATGATGGCTGCGATCCCGTTAGACTAAAGTAGGCAAAAAGCAAAAACAAAGCAGTCAGCACAGCTTATGGTCAAATTCCAAATGTATATATATTTTAAGGAAACACCAGAAAATAATTCAGAAAGTATAATGTCAAACTAGATTTTAACTATATTATTTTAATTTCTTGAAATTCTACAAATGTATCTTCTATTTAATATATATTATGTTTTATGTTATATTGTTGTGACAGGAAATAATAAACAAAAACTTTCCCAAAATGCTGCAGATTCTTTACAAATACATCTAAAAGGAATTTAGGAAAAATCACTAATCAGGATTAGACTGGTCTCTATCTTTCATGTAAGGATTATTTTGGTTCAAAGCAAATTACCCATAGGCAGAATTTAGGCAGAATCCTGCAGACTTTTTGATGGTGAAACACAATTTATTGCATGTAGTTAAATAATAAGATGAATATTAAAAAAAATTATCAAGTAGATGACAAACCAACAATGGTTCTTGTTGGGAAATGGTATATACACATCAATGCAAGAATGCAATCTCATGCATTCATAAATCAGATGTTCTCTCATTGAAGCTGAAATATGACCTACACAAAAACCACAGTGGTGTTCTTTCCCTTCCTAACTACTGAGCTCCTCCAGCCTTAAGGCACCTACTCTGGGCGCTGTTCTTAAACCCTTTCATATAAAAACCACCTACTCATTTTACAGGGCTCATATTAAGTCACTTCATGGAAGTCTTCCTTGGACCCTTTGACTATAAAATGCCCCTTTGATTAAACAACTCATATTTCTCTATACTTTAATCTTTAGTACTTATCACGATGCAACGAATTATGAATTTTGTGATTATTTGTTTAATTTATATTTTCTACCATGATTTATTGTGAGCTCTAGGAAGTCAGGGGTTACATCTAGCCTACTTAGCACCGTATACTCCATGTCTGGCATTTAAAAACTACTTACTGAGGCCGGGCACAATGGCTCACGCCTGTAATCCCAGCACTTTGGGAGGCCGAGGCAGGTGATCACGAGGTCAGGAGTATGAGACCAGCCTGGCCAACATAGTGAAACCCCATCTCTACTAAAAATACAAAAATTAGCTGGGCGTGGTGGCGGGCACCTGTAATCCCAGCTACTCAGGAGGCTGAGGCAGGAGAATTGCTTGAACCCGGGAGGTGGAGTTTGCCATGAGCCGAGATTGCACCACTGCATTCCAGCCTGGGAGACAGAGTGAGACTCCATCTCAAAAAAAAAAAAAAGAAAGAAAGAAAGAAAAAACTACTTACTGAAAGAATGAACTCTAAAGAAAAAAAACAGCAAAAGACATGGATACAAAGAAGAATGTTTACTGAACTTTTACTGTACAAACAGTTTCCAAGGGAACAAGGGGTATCTCCCAAATGCCTAATCCCTAGGATCCTCAGTAATAATGTTTTGTTTTGTGGTTTTTTTTTTTATGAGAAAAAATTCAGGGAAGAAAAGAAAAAGAGCAAAAGAGAAAGAAGATTAATACTAATACTTTATAGAAATTTTCAGGCAAATACCTAAGTAGCCTGTTCTTAGAAAGAACATTCCAAAGTGCATCTTTCTTTACAAAATTCTAAATATTCATGAATAAATCAGCTACCGTCCACAGGCACAAACACATTAAGCTCTAAAATCTAGGCAAACAAGAATATAACGGAAAAAGGATGTCATAGAAACGCATGGAAAACTGTGGTACCCTATGGGAGAAATATTGTCAAATGTATAAATCTTGATCTCACCTTCAAAAATATGGTCTTATGTAAGACAGCCCCTATCTGTGACTGTCCATGTACAGAAGGAATACATTTCTCACCAGACCTTTCCCACATGAGGATCCAGCCACAGCACTCATAGAAATGGCACACCATTTGGCTGTGCTATACAGCTTTCAAAAGGGCTCTATGAACATTTGGTTTCCCCTTTTCTTAGAATTCACACCCATGTTCAGAAATAAGGACATGCAACTAGAGGCCATGAAACTGCTAAAAATTTAGTGGTTAGTTTGTTTCTTCTATGCATGTGCCAAGAACAGGAAAATCAGAAAATTGCACTGACAGAACACAAAGTAGATGGGCTAGCCCTGCTAGATACTCAAAATTTTTTATTTTTCCCTTAAAAAAAGCCTCCATTAGTAGCATCGACAAAATATTATGCATCTCCAGATACAAATATAATTTATTATTACAATATTATCATATCGACTGATTGCAAAGATTTGTCTTAAAAAAATTAAAAATGGCCGGGCACAGTGGCTCACACCTGTAATCGCAGCACTTTGGGAGGTTGAGGTGGGCGGATCACAAGGTCAGGAGATCGAGACCATCCTGGCTAACATGGTGAAACCCCATCTCTACTAAAAATACAAAAAATCAGCCAGGCATGGTGGTGGGCGCCTGTAGTCCCAGCTACTCGGGAGGCTGAGGCAGGAGAATGGCGTGAATCTGGGAGGCGGAGGTTGCAGTGAGCCAAGATCATGCCACGCACTCCAGCCTGGGCGACAGAGAAAGACTCCATCTCAAAAAAAATAAATTAAATAAATTAATTAAAAATAAATTATGCACTTTCTAAAGACCTACAGACCTAGTATATATATAAGCCAAACATGATGGGAAAAGCGTCAGGGAAAATGCAACCTGGTCTTGCTATCTATCTATCTATCTATCTATCTATCTATCTATCTATCTATCTGTCTATCATCTATCTATCTATCTATCTGTCTGTCTATCATCTATCTATCTGATGACTATTTCATTTACTGGATTCTTTTTGAAATATTCAATATCAGGAATTAGGAAACTATGGCACAAAGGTCAAATCCAGCCAATCTATTTTGTAAGACCCTGGCAAGCCAAGAACATTTCTACCCTGTTTAAGAAAAATGACATTTGAGTAATAAATATTTATTAGAACTTTTTCAGTTCTAAAGAGAGGCATGCCTATGTAAAACTGAGAAGCTTCTAGTTTCGCTCGTGATATAGATCTATATGTAATCAAATCTAGTTTCATACTCTTCTTCATCTGACTCTTAAGTCCATAGTTTGCAACATGGTATCTGATTACGGGACTGAATTCTGTAGTGTTCCACATTTCCCCAATATGTTTATAAAGTTTTGGGCAAAATGAAACTGTTTTTCTTTCATGACTAACATCTTTCTTGCTCTGATAGTGGCTCTGGCTATCAAAACAAACACAATGGGAAAGCCTGAATTTGTATCCAGTTAACCGAGCTGATGTCTGGGATTAGTGTATTCAGGGACTGTGTCATCTGCATCTAATTTCCTTTTCTTCACTAAAAGCAAGTTATAGAATAAAAAACTTTATTCTGCCAAATATAACTAAAATTCTAGTGAAGAGAATCATAGAGATATAAAAACAAATCAGGGTGACTGCTGCCCTTGCAACATAACTATGGGACAGAGGAATCACTGGAAAGTTTCAAAAGAGCATTAGTTATTATTGCTGCAATCTATCTAGAAAATAGTGAATTCACAGCAGCCACATTAGAATGAAACAGACACAGAACGGGGAAAATGGGTCTCCACAATTTTGTTTCATGAATTTAGAGTTAGGGAAAGAAAACAGAGTCATGAAACAGATAATTATTTCATTTACTGGATTCTTTTTGGAATATTTGATATCAGGAATTAGGAAACTATGGTACAAGAGTCAAATCCAGCCAATCTATTTGGTAAGACCCCAGCAAGCTAATACCTTTTTTTTTTTTACAGTATTACATAAAGCTGAAAAAATCAAAAGAAGAATATGTTACAAGAAATTCCAATGTCAGTGTACATAGTTTTACTGAACACAGCCATTTGTTTATATAATGTCTATAGCTGTTTTTGCACTACAATGGTAGAGTTAAGTAGTTGTGACAGAGACCATATGGCCCCCAAAGCCTTAAGTATGTATTTACTATTTGGCCTTCTACAGGAAAAATTTGCCAACCCTTGTCCTATATAAATCAATGTAGAATCTGGTTTAAAATGGCAACTTGTGGAAGTGTTCAGTCAGGGGGTGGGGGAGACAGACGTGGGTTCAATTCTGAATTATAGCATTTATCAGACTGCAAAACTGGGCAAGTAACAACCTTTCAGAGCCTCCAGGCTTCAAGTATCCCTTTTGCAGGGACAGTAAGGACTGAAACCACCTGCTGTTACACTCATCAAACCATGCACCTCTTTGAGGGCTGGGTCCACATAAGAAGAAGTACCTTCTAATGTATTTGGATAAAAGTGCACTGAATGTTGGAGGTATCTTCCTGTTCCTCAGTTTTCTCATCTGCAAAATTAACATAATCTGAACAGCCTCCTCTTGGATTGTGAGTGCTAAATGAAGCCATAAAGGATTTAGCACATATACAGCAGAGCTGAACACAGCGTCTAGCACTTAATACTTGCTCAGCAAACAGGTTCTTGGTATTGTTATTGCAAAAGAGTCAGAAGACCAGTGATTCCAAGAGAAAAAAAAGGACATCTTTCCATTATGTTTTTAAAAGCAGAGATCCATTTTAAAGATCTTTTGAGGAGAGATGAACATAAAGGATTGTCTAAATACAAACCCTCCTCAGACTCTAATCTTAAATCTCTTAAATCTAAAACTTAGTTTCCCCATTTTAAACTAGATATATGGTTACTTTCAATCATTCATTTAGGAAATAATTTTGGAGCACTTGCTCTGTGTAAGGACCAGTTGTGAGAGACGGGCAATAAGCACAGCACAAGCCCTGCCGTCAATGTCTCAAGGCTGGTAAGAAAGGCTCAGAAGCAAACAGGAACTCACAGCTCAGTTCCTAAGGCCTCAATAGGACTGAGCCCTGGATGTTCCTGAAGCATACAGAGGAGCTTCTTTATTTGTGAGATTTTAACAAGGACTAACCAATGACTACAATAATAGTGTTCTACTTTGTTTGGCTTTCAAATGCCTGAGCAAGTAAAAAGCATTATCCTCACAATGAGCAATATCGCTAACTGCATTTCACCTGTTCACCATATGCAAATATGCCTGAAAGACTAAATATCATTTAAATCCAAGGTCCAGGTATTCATCATAGTATTACCCACTATACTCTTCTATTTTCAATAGATATTTCATACATAAATCAGCAGGTGCATCTCATCAGCGCAAGTCTCACTTTTCATATCTATGGAATGGTAATATCACTACCACAGGCAACAGGAATTTGAGGTTAAATACAAGGCAATGGTTAAATTTAAGGAGGAAAAATAATTTTCCTATAATTACTGTCAACCTGAAAAATTGAATTGTAGTATTTATTATCCTGTAATAACTAGTGGAATAATAAAAGTCATAAGAAAGAGAAGGCTTCAAGTCATCAGCCTTGGCAGACACGGGGAGATCACCGGTGACCCCTCGGACATTTTCTCAGCCCTGGCTCACCTTGGCCTCTCCCAGGCATGTACTGCTGCCCTCTCTTCACCTTGGAATTCTATCTTCCTTTGTCTTCTTCACTCGGTGTCTGGTCTTCCCACGTCTTAAGCAGTTCTTTCTCTTATTTCTTCACTTACTTTATTCATCAAGACAGCCTTACCTATTTCTTCTGCTTGATTAAACTTTAAACTTCAGTCAAATTGGATTTCTTCTAACTGTGGGTCTTGGATCTCCCTTTTCTTTAAGAATCTACTTTTAAAAATTTGTGGCCGGGTGAGGTGGCTCACGCCTGTAATCCCAGCACTTTGGGAGACTGAGGCGGCCAAATCACAAGGTCAGGAGATTGAGACCATCCTGGCCAACGTGGTGAAACCCCGTCTCTACTAAAAATAAAAAATTAGCTGGGTGTGGCGGCACACACCTGTAATCCCAGCTACTTGGGAAGCTGAGGCATGAGAATTGCTTGAACCCGGGAAGCAGAGATTGCAGTGAGCCAAACTGGCGTCACTGCACTCCAGCCTACCAACAGAACAAGACTCAGTCTCAAAAAATATATATATATAAATAAATAAATAAAAACTTGTAATCACAAAATATTTCTCCGCCTTTTGAAAAGCATTTAAATCTCCTTTAACTCTCAGCAGTTTTACAGACCTTGGAGGACTGTCTTTCTCAAGGCCCTGGGAGCCATTCCTTTGAGATGTAATCATCAAGGGAGATAGTGCCCCTATCACACGGTCTCTGTAGAAGCGGAGAAACCTAACATCAGTGGTGCCTTGCTCCAAGTTTTAGCACTACCTCCTATTAGGAAAGTAGGAGAAAGTTTACTTTTCCTTTAGGTAAGGTCAATTAGCAGATACTGGTGGCCTATAATTCCCACCACCCTAGCTTTGAAAATTCTCCAACCTTTTGTTTCATCACAGGTAAATTCACTCTTCCCTCTTGCAACAGTCTTGACAAGGTCTTCTTTTCCTGTTTAATTTTGTCCAGTGCATTTTTGTCTTTGACTCTATGTATTCCTCCCCACTTCAAAATGACATTAACTCTAAATTGTCCCATTTTTCTTCCCCTTCCTACAACCTCAGCAAAAGCAAAACTTAAATTTTTACTTCCAGCCCTGATCACTCACGAGATGTGAAGCTATAGCTACAAGTACCTGCTTGACATTGCCAACCTCACTTACACAACATGTCTACAATGAAAATTCTTCTGATCTCCAGATTTACCTCTCGCTTTGGATGTTTCCAATGGCAGCATCATTCTTCCAGCCCATGAGATTCAATATTTTGGAATGAAACATTCCCCCATAACCACCAGTAAGTCACTTTATAATATGGATTTCTTCATTAATACAATTTATATGGCTATTTCTAGGACTATTTCTACCACCATCAGTCAATTTAGAAACTAAAGTTTTATGCCTATATTCTAGCATTTGTTTCCTAAAAGCTTTCTCTGTGCCTTTTCTTTTCCTGTCCTTTCTCTTACATGTCATTACTAATTTAATCTTCCCAAAATAGTATGTTTCACCATCACATGTGTGTCCAAAGCTCTTTAAAACCATATTATTATTTATTGGAGTCAGACCTTGTGATTTCTCAAGGCAATAAAACCTGAAAAAAAAAATCTGCTCACATAAACTTGCCAGCTAATAATTCTGCCAAGTAACAGCATACAAGGAAAAAGAGAAAAGAAGAGAAGAAGCAGGAGGAGGGAGAGGAATATGAGGAAGGAAAAGAAAGGACTGAAGGACTAGGGAGAAGGAAGGTGGGAGAGAAGAAAGAAGGAAGGATGGAATGAGGGAGGGAGGGAGGGAAGGAAGGAAGGAGAGGACAGGAAAGGAAAGGAAAGGAAAGGAAAGGAAAGGAAAGGAAAGGAAAGGAAAGGAAAGGAAAGGAAAGGAAAAAGGAAAGGAAAGGAAAGGAAAGGAAAGGAAAGGAAAGGAAAGGAAAGGAAAGGAAAGGAAAGGAAAGGAAAGGAAAGGAGGGAGAGGTCGGTCCTGACAAATGAAGTGTATTTCCTCAATCAAAGGATATTTTAAAATTAAAATAGGACAAAGAACAATTTTAAAATAAAAGAATTCTTTCAAGTTGAATAAATCTAATAATATGAAAAATATAATCCATTTTCTTTCCTTTTTTCATTTCAACACCGTAGAGTTTGGGAATCACAGCCTGTAGGATGAACTCTAAATTCAATTCGGTTTCTTAGGTTGTTGATAATCTGGTCTACATTTTCTATTTCCAAGAATTCCTTCCACTTATTTCTACTCCAGTCAAATGCATCTCCTCTCAATTTCGTCAACACATCCCCACCCTGTTTGCTCTTTCTCTATAATATGCTCCCCATCCCCTTTCTTTGCTGACATCCTAGTCTCCCTTCAAGGCCCTGTCTGTCTCAGTTCCTCCACAAGCATAAAACCTTTTTCTGGTACTCTTTCCCTTCTTGCTCTAAGCTCCTGGAAGCCACTATTTCCCAGTAAATATTATGTGAAATTTTGTTGCCTAATTTATTCCATCCATTTGTCAACAACTAACAGCTCCAAAGTTTGTACATCCAATCCAGACCTCTCTCAGAACTCCAGACTTGCATATTCAGGGGCCTGACATTTCCACTGCGATGTCCAATAGACATCCCTCATTCAACCTCACCACAACTGAACTTCTCTTTGCTCTGAAACTGCTGTGCCTGATGACAATTCATCCTTCTATTTGGCAAAACCACAGTTGCTTTTGCATCAACCTAATAGTTGCTCAGGCAAAAACACTTGGAGCTATTCTTAATTTCTTTCTTTATCTCACATCCCACACCTAATCTGTCTAGGCATCCCATAAACTTCCCCTGTAAAATATATTCTAATTCAACCCTTCTCACCATCTCCAATTTGATCACCCCAGTGGGGCTACCCTCCTCTGGGTGGGGAAGGATTCCTGCATTACTGCAATAGCCACAGAATTGGGCTTGATGTTTCCACGTTTGCTGCTACTCGCAAAGTCTGTTTTCATACAGCAGCCAGAGTGATCCTTTCAAAACAGTGAATCAAATCATGTCACCTTCCAAGGTCTTCCTGTTTCACTCAGAAGAAAAGCTCAGGTCCTGACAATAACTATACACCCTACAGGATCTGCCCTGCTCCTGCCACTCTCTCTTCCTTATCCAGAGGCTCCCACTCTCCCTGACTACTTCCATTCCAGCACACTGGCTGGTTGCTCTTCTTGAAACTTGCCAGAGACTTGTCACCTCAGGCTTTGCTCTAGCTGCTCCCTCTGTGTGGAGCACTATTCCCTCAGATGGTCTGCAGGCCTCACTCCCTTACCTTCAAGTCTTTTCTCAAAGCCTTCCTTCTTACGGAGAATCATCTTGACCCCTTCTTGACTGTTACAGCTTGCTCCTTTCCCCTTACCTCATCATTGACACATCAATGATCATTTTTCTGAAATCTCCCCACTCTTAAACCATCTTGAGTCATATTACCCTCACTCAGGAGCAAGAACTAGAAAGTCTTCCTTAAAGCACCAACCTATACATCCCACATGAGTCATTTAGCCTCAGCATCCTTGCATGTGAAAATCATGCATTGTTATAGGATAGGAACAAAGACCTGTTTTCCTGCTTGCATGGAAGAAAGGAAGAAAAAGACAGTTTGTAGGTGTAGAATAGGAAGAAGGATGAGGAAGGAATGCCATTTCAGTGAGCTAAACACTGAGAAACTACAAACCACAAATATTTGTAATTTCAACCACATCCTGAGGGACCAGAAAACCAGCAAACTGCAACATCCACAAAATCTACAAATTGCAACATGCGCTAGAAATGGGAGAAAAAAAACCCTCCCCAAAAAGCACAAATACAAAAACAAAAAACCTAGCTATTTTCAAAATAGAAGTAGCTGTTGGTAAAGACTTATCCAAGGAGTTAAAAAGTGACCCAAGGGTCCATATGATGTGCCTTTTACCTGAAGCATTGTCTTAAAATGAGAAATGCAACTACCTCTATACAGATAACATTGAATTGTTTTGTTTTGTTTTCTGTTGGAAGGGTATCTCTCGAATTAGTAGATCAAAATCAAAATATAAAACAATGAAACCGTGAGATGTGAGAAAATGTTTAGGTTTAGGATTTTGGTCTTTTGGAGGGCAGGAATTTTTCTTTTTTTGCTTTGATTTACATATTTTTTACAAAATATATTTAGAAATAATAACCATGTGGTTGGTCCTGTTTAGTGCTGCCCGTTTCCACGTGCAATAATATAATATTGAAACTTTCTATAAATCCACAAAATTAAATAAAAGGAAGAAAATGTCTACTGAATGGAGCTTATATTTCAAAATACTGCATTTAGGTAATGCAAATCAGTAATCTCAAAATATATATTCGATGTGGTTACAAATTAAGATAGTATCAAGCTGTCAAAGTCAACTTCCTCATTCAGAAAGCACCAATATTTTAAATGAACAAAATAAAAAAGTCACACATTAAAATGCAATAATTTGATTTCAAACCATGATAAATGTTTAGATACTGTAATCTAACCTTCCTAACAGAAAACATAATTTCTATATTTAATGTTTTAAGAAAAAAAGTGCTTCATTTGTAAATTATTATCTTACCTTATTTTGATTTCAAATATGCCTTTTAAATTCTATAAGTATGAAAATCAAATGCATACTACCTTAAAGTTCCTATAAAAGGGAGCTCAACATAAAAAAAAGCAATGCCACCCAAAACGAATTCTATACAAAATTTTTCCTTGTAATGGTCTCCAATGTTATTGTTTGCATCTCCTTTATTGTAGTATGCAACAACACCAAAGATCCATAGATTATTTCTGGATGGAATTGCTTTTAAAAGATAATCTTTGTGCAAACTTTTACTTACACATTCTGTGGCTGTGACAATTAATGATCCTGAAATGACAGATTTTCCTCCATTAAAGCTCACTGAAACATCAAGAGTTCTGAAAAAGAAAAGAAACAATAATTTTATATACATTTAAAACCAGAGGAGTAGGAGATTTTTATTTCCTTATGTAATTCAAAACCAGCCAGAAAACATACTTAAAGAGTAAGGGTCTCAAACTCCTGACCTCAGATGATCCACCCACCTCGGCCTCCCAAAGTCCTAGGATTACAGGCATGAGCCACCGTGCCCAGCATGGCCAACATAGTGAAACCCCATCTCTAGTGAAAATACAAAAATTAGCCAGGTGTGGTGGTGGGCCCCTGTAATCTCAGCTACTCAGGAGGCTGAGGCAGGAGAATTGCTGGAACCTGGGAGGCGGAGGTTGCAGTGAGCCAAGATCATGCCATTGCACTCCAGCCCGGGCCGACAACAGCGAGACTCAGTCTCAAAAAAAAGGAAAGAGTAAGAGTCACAGCTTTTGGTAAATTATGCCAGCTTTTTTCTTCCTTAGTTCTAGTCTTTACTTATTAGTCAGGCAAACTTATTAAGTGGACTAATTGTTTCTTTACAAAGTAGTAACAGAAATACAGGCATTAAGAAATTTCTAAATCCAGAAAAATGCCAAGGTTGTTTCAGGTTCACAAAAACCTACAAAGAAAGAAAAGCTTTAGATCCCATTTAGCCTATTTCTCTGTCTCTAGGTATTACTACTAAGAATATAAAACTGGAAGCAATAAACCAGTCAAAAATAAAATATAAAGAAAGTGAATATGAAAGACAGCAACAAAGAAAAGAAAGGGAGAAAGATTTATTTGCAGGTATTTGTTGCAGATGGTCCAAAGATATTAAAATATCCCGACAAAGGTACAAAGAAGAGATAATAATTTTTGTCCCTGGCTAAGAAATATTATAGTTAAAATATAGTTCTTATTTTGAAAATATGATTTCAAATTATAAAACAAGTAATAATCATTAAAATTTCATTAATTTAGATTGATTATTTGGGATTAGCCTAGAGTTAGTAATTTTTTATTATAAAAATAACTAAAACAAGATATCAAAAGGGAAAAAAATGACAAGAGGGTTTGTATGGAAAGAGCTCTTTTCCAAAATAGTTTACAAAGGATATTATCATATAATTGGTTTGCAAACAAATCAAAGCCATCCATCCACAGGGTAGGCATGGTGGCTCACGCCTATAGTCCCAGCCCTTTGGAAGGCTGAGGTGGGAGGACTGCATGAACCCAGGAGTTTGAGACCAGCCCCGGCAACACAGTGAGATGCCCATCTCTACAAAAAGTAAAAATAAAAATAATTAGCCGGGCATGGTGGCATGTGCCTATAGGTCCAACTATTCAGGAGGCTGTGGCAGGAGGATCGCTTGAGCCTGGGAGGTTGAGGCTGCAGTCATCTCTGATTGAGCCACTGCACTCCAGCTTCAGCAACACAGTGAGACTCTGTCAAAAAAAAAAGCAAAAACAAAAACAAAAAACAAACTCCCAGAAACAATCTCAAGCTGTTGACAGAAAGGGGAGATAAGAAATATTATTCAGTTCTTACTATTGCCAGATGCTATCCTAGGCATTTTATGGGCATTATCTATTTCAACCCTTCACAATAGCCCTTGAAGTAAATAGTAGTTTCACAGTTTTACAGATGGGGGGCAGGAGGCCCAGAAATGTTAATTACTTTGCCCAAAGTAATACAGCTAGGATTCTAACTTTGAACTCTTTCCATCATATCAGAGAGGCTTGATTAAATGATGAAATCAAAGTCCTTAATGTGTTTTTTTTCTCAATGTGCTATTTGGTTTGGATTCATACAAGAAAGCTACTGGGAAGGATATTCCTGGCAAAGTTCAAGCTAAATTCAATCAAAATATAGAAATACTTCTATTAAAATATTTCTGTGTAAAGTATTTACTTCAAAGCATCTTGTTTAAAAAGATGGTTTAGCTAGGCTGGGCGCAGTGGCTCACGCCTGTAATCCCAGCACTTTGGGTAGATCACGAGGTCAGGAGATTGAGACCATCCTGGCTAACACGGTGAAACCCCGTCTCTACTAAAAATACAAAAAAATTAGCCGGGCATGGTGGCACGTGCCTGTAATCCCAGCTACTTGGGAGGCTGAGGCTGGAGAATCACTTGAACCCGGGAGGCAGAGGTTGCAGTGAGCCGAGATCACACCACTGCACCCCCAGCCTGGGCGACAGAGCGAGACTCCATCTCAAAAAAAAAAAAAAAAAAAAAAAGATGGTTTAGCTAAATCCAGAAGAGAATAAGAATTCCGGATGTTTACATCTAATTAACTATACTTCTGAACTATTCCAACACAGAAGGCCAAGTGGCGTATTAAGAAAGAAAACTTAAACCTAATTGCTCATTCTGAAGAAATGGGTGCCTTGTTTTGTTTTTTTAATGACTAAGCATAATCAAATAAAAAATTGTCTTCCCTAGTTCTTAATTCCTCTACTTTAAAGAATGTGGCCTGAATCATCTGACATGTTGGCATGGTTTTATTTTTTGGAAAGATAATTTTCATTCATAATAATATGTGATTCTTGCAGGTAATCTTACTGATTCAACTTTAAGGGATCAGTAGACATTGACTGAAGTTGTTTATAATCTGACAGTTAAAATTCACCAGAAACGAACAAGTTCTCTAATTAATGAAGGAAACATTCAAACTTTTAATGCTTAAAAAAATGAAATGAGAACAGAAGATGTCATTTTAAAACAAAGTTTACTCTTTCCTATGGTAGAAATGCATGCTGATATGATCTTGTAACCGACAAAAATAACTGCATTCTCCGAAAATCTCATTCTAGTATAATGTGGCTGGTGTAAAAAAAAAACAAAAACTGAGTTAATTCTCCGCAGATATAGAAATCCACTTGATGATATATGATGTATGGAACTGAAACAAGAATATCTTCCTCCTTTTGAGAGTAGTAGTAGCAGCGTGATCAAAATGTAACCATAAACACCACTCATAATTACAGGCAATTGTTGATTTCTTACTAAGAACCAGACACATTAATTCATCTTCTCATTTAATTCTCACAACAACCTACTGAGGTCAGCACTAGCATCATCTCCATTTTGCCCATGAAGAAACAAGCTTATAAAGGTAACTTGTCCAAATATTGGACTTCACTGACTCTGTACTCAAAATGCTTTCACTTCTACAACATACTACTTTAATCCTCCACATGTATTTTAGCATCTTATATTTAAATTTCTCTCATTAGTATGAGTTTCATTTGAATCTTCTAGCTTTTTACTACATTCACATATTTCTCATGGTTAACTAGAATGGCATTTACTATATGCTAAAGCAATATATTTACTTGTGAATATATATATTTATGAATATGTGTGTATAGATATATGTATTCTGTGAAAATTTTTCAGAAAAGTTGCAAATATGAAAAACACAGTTACATCTGCTTTTAAACTTTGCTGCTTCTTTAGAAAAACATTTTTGAAATTATTGGTATGGTACTGGCACCATCATTAAGCTAGAGCCTTTGCCCAAAGCTATGCTACTCCTTTTCTGGCATAGGTTGAGAAAACCGCCCACTGTAATGCAAACCAAATTCGGTAAGCTTTCCTTGCCTCAAGAGTCAACTATACATATTTAGTGTTTTCTGTCATATTTTATGTCATTTCTGTTAGCATCTATGGATTGTTATTCCTACTCCTACATAACTTCTACTTCTAGTTAGTATGTTTCTGACAGTGGAAGCCATACGCTCAGTAACAGAGGCTTTCTTATGGGCAAAAATGTATTAAAACAACATTGTGTTTACTTAGTTGCAAACATATATGGGAAGCAAGAGAGCAGTTCATTTTTATTTGCCCCAAGGATCTAATAATATTGAAAAAGGGCATTTGGGCGAAACTGGAGTCCTGAGTTTGAACCCTCATCACTCCATTTTTAATCTTCCATTTCTCAATCTGTAAAATGGGGATAACTGTACCTATTTCAAAGTTGTTTTAAGGAACAGAGCTTGGTAAAATAATATACATAAAATATACAACACAATACCTGGGACACAACAGGTACTCCATAAATTACCGTTAACACCTGAATATTTGTCTAATGGATTATTTAGAATATCAAGGTACTTTTTAATAAACCTTTTAGATCCAAGCTAAGAAGAAATGTATATAGAAGCAATAAAATCATTATGTAATACCTTTTGTTTAATTTAATTAATTTCTATTCTGCTCACTGCCATATAAAAATATTGTAAGCTAAATTGTTCAAAAAATGCCTACTATATAATGTCAGGCAGTTTCATGTAAAAAATTTTTTCAATGCCATATTCTTCCTGTTATAAAACATGACCTTGATTAAATCCAACATTATAGCTATGTTGAGCTCTGTGCTTAAACCTCAGGCCTAAAATCACACTCCAAATTGGTTTAGGAATATCTGCCAATAAAATCACTCAATCAGTCACTTATTTTATTACTAGTTAATTAAATGAGTATTTATTAATTGATTGTAGTAGCAATGATAATTGGGCTGTACTTGGTAAAATGGCTGCAGTAACAAATAATACAAATTACAATGTAAATAAAAGGAAGCCCCGTAAACAATTACAAAAGAATGCGATATTAAATAGGTTTAGGCACAGGGGTTCTAGAGGGCTGTGTGGGAGATTCAACAGACTTGGCCTTGGCATAGAGGCATTAGCAAAGTTTTCCTGCAGGAAGTCGACTACAGGATGAAGCTTAAAGAATGATCAGAAGTTAGGAAATGAGATTAGAAAGGAGTCCATGCAGATGGAGCACTCCGACAGGGTGGAAGGCAAGAAAGGGACAGGGACAGAACAGTCAAGGCAGTAAAAGTGATTCAGTACTCCAGCAACAAAAGAGGGTGAGAGTAAGAATGAAATGGCTCCAGGTTGAAAAGGGGAGCAGAGAAAAGATCATTGAGTCCCTGGATGCCATCTTTAGACATCTGGAATTCGTCTTAAGAGTTTTAAGTTTGATAGAAATATAGTTAGAAATGTGTTTTACAAATATCATTCTTGTTACAGTGTAAGGCAGGGGTCTGAAGAATAAATTTCAAAAGTAGAAAGACCAGTTAAGAAAGTCTCAGTGTACTTGAAATAAGTACCAAAGTAGAATTGAACTAAAATAGTGGCAATGAGGTTAGTGTGAAAACAAAAACTGAGACATATTAGGAGTTAGAATAAAAAGGACATGGACATTTATTGGATGTAGGAGGTGAGGAAGAAGAAAAAAGGATGACCTCAAAGTTTCTGTCTTACACAAGTAGGTGGGCAGTCTTGCATAGGGAACACAGAAGGAGCAAGTTTGAACAGAAGGATGTGAGTTTAATTTGGGACCTCCAAGTTTAAGGTGCCTGTAGAAAATCCAAGTGACTTTGTAGACATTTGGATAGGAGGCATTTGGACAGCAGACTTAAAGCTAGTAAAAAGATCTTGCCAGGAAATTTGGAGCTCATCAGGAAGAAAAAGGGAGCCATAGAAAGGGTGAGTTTATAAGTCAAGTATCCTCCAACCATGATAAAAACTGAGGGGCACTGGACACTGTGGCTCATGCCTGTAATCCCAACACTTTGGGAGGCCAAGGCGGGTGGTTGGCTTGAGCCCAGGAGTTTGAGACCAGCCTGGGAAACATGGTGAAACCCTGTCTATACAAAATGTACAGAAAATTAGCAGGGTGTGGTGGTACATGCCTGTAGCCCCAGCTACTCAGGAGGCTGAAGTAGGAGGATCACCTGAGCCAGAAAGGCCAAAAGTACAGTGAGTCAGATCATGCCACTTCACTCCAGCCTGGGTGACAGTGAGACCCCACCTCAAAAAGAAAAAACTGACAGTTAAGAGACTGTAAAAACAAAAGTAGTCTAAAGGGATATCTGAGGAGAAAGGGGAGAAACAGCTAGGGTGAGAATATGAAGTCACAAAAGACAAGGGAAAACCTTCTGAGACAAGAGTGGCACCTTGTGCAGATAATACAGGGAGGTAAGGGAAGATAATGCTGGGAAATGGCAACACTTTCAACTTAATTTTCTATAAATTGGTTCTACACTGTTTAATATTTCTTAACAAATATCTTAATCCATGCTTTGCTCCATCATTAAAATATGTTTTTTCAAAGTAGAAGGATAGAAGAAAGCTTAACAACTTAATGTAACAAAAAGATTGATTGAAGTGTACTTTCATGTCAACTGACAATTAATAGTAATAAAATTAAATTCAAACATAGTAAAGTCATTCCACATGAGAAATTATTAAATAGTACTATGATACACAATTTAGTAAATAAAACTCACTAAGTCCTAATAGTCACATACTTCTATTTAATGTCTAAAGATGCATGACTCTTCCAAAACAGGAGAATGGCTCAGTGCCATATGTCATAGCTATTCTGATCTAAGAAATGTTATACTCCATGAATTATGATTGACATTTCAATCCACAGTAACATATTTGCAAAGTATTCATTTGCTTCTGACTTTATATATATCCAATAAAAGATTGTCATTTTATGATCCATTAAAAAGGATGAAAAAATTAAATAAAATTGTGAAAGACATTTGCTGGAAGTAATAAATAATTTACCTTCAATTTGCACATACTGAAAATTAAACTGGCAGCTACTCAAAAAGTTATTACAATTATGGTGACTTAAGATATTTTGAAATCAAGTGATACTATTTAATGTTCTGCAGTGCTTTTTAAAAGATAGTTTTATGAATGATAAAGATTTTAAGTTGGAAGATAAGATTCCATATTCATGAATAGTTTAAAGGTACCACTTCTAGTAATTAGTTTATATGTAAATTAATGTTTTGACTAAGGATACTTTCTTAAAAGTGGCTAAAAGATTTTTGAATTAAATGACTTATTTTTAGCATATCTCAATATGTGTAATAGATAAAACAAAAATTGCAGTTAGCAAGATGTCTACATTTCAGAAGGAAAAAGAGCTATATTCAGAGATTTACTGGACATCACAGGAAAGCTGTATTATAATTGTTCTGAGTATTGCACTAAAAATAAGCACTTTCCATTTGCTGTGTGTTTTTTAATAACATTCTAAAAAGACACTTAAAAAACAATCACCAAGTCAATTTAGTGCCTAAATCAATCAAATTGAGTGCCTTTCATCCAAAACTTTAAAGAGTCTTAGTGATATGGTTTTGCTGTGTGTCTCCACCCAAATCTCATTCTTGAATTGTAATCCCCCCGTGTAAAGGGAGGATCCTGATAAGAGGTGAATGGGTTATGGGGATGGTTTCCCCCATCCTGTTCTCATGATGGTGAGTGAATCTCACGAGATCTGATGGTTTTAAAAGTGGCCATTTTTCCTGGGCTTGCACTTCTCTCTCCTGCCACCATGTGAAGGTCTTTGCTCCCCCTTAGCCTTCTGCCATGACTAAGTTTCCTGAGGCTTCCCCAGTCATGTAAAACTGTGAGTCAATTAAACTTCTTTCCTTGATAAATTACCCAGTCTCGGCAGTTCTTTATAGCAGTGTGAGAACGGACTAATACATTTAGTAATAATGAAAAGCTTTGATAATATAAAATTTAGAAGCAGATATATAAGAGGATTTAAGTACCTATTTCAAGAATATTCTCTACATCCTCATATAGGTGTCCATCTTTAAATACTTTTCATTGTCCAAATAATTATCTACTAAATAATTTAGTAGAATTATCTACTAAATAATTCTAAATTTTAGAAAGTATTTCCTTATATTGATCTGAAATGTGCTTCCCCTTAACTTCACCCTTTTTCTCCTATAGCAATAAAGAACAATTCAAATCTGTCTGTCATGTGACAGATCTTCCAATGTTTGGAGAGTTAATGCATCACATCTGAATAGTATTTTTTTCAGTATTTTAAATTGTATCCTATTTAACATTCCCATACATGGTGACATCTTATTAGCCACCCCTCCAGGTGTTCATGTGTTAAAAGACATTGCCAGAACCGTATATAATACTTAGGATGAAGAGGCAATGCAGATGAGGTGAACTTATCACATTGATAGATATAATTTGAAAACAGTGCACCATGTGAAGGAAAAGAGAAATGTTCCACCAAGGAAGTGTGGGGTAGAGAAACAGAGAAAGCCCTTAGCTTTAACCCATATCATCATGATTCTAATGTTCATATTCAAATAAAGACATAACTAATGTCTTAATATCCATGATTTTTCCAAAAAATAAAATCTCATTCCTCACAAGAAGCAAAAGGAATAATGTTGTGGTTGTATCACCTGCTACTAACATAAGAGAATTAGGGATTCTATAGACATACACACACATACAGATAGAAGTATACTTTTGGAAAGAACAGAAACTGTAGTAAAGGCAGAATTTATCTAATCAAGAAAGAGAAATAGAATTAATCAATTTTATTCCAGGAAAAATAGATTAGGCTTAATACTGAAAAAAAAAGTTGAAGAAAATAAAAAGATTCTATTATGAAGCCAGGCTCTAACCTCAATTCTGCCACACTGTTCATCTCAATGATCCTTCAGTTTTCCTTGAAATTTTCCACAGACAGTGACGTCCCACCACTTCTTTCTCAAAACACTCTGTCAAGTGTCTTCCCACACTGCCTTTTAAGAGAACTAATACTATCAGTTTCATCTGATTTAGATATTTATTTCATATTTGCCAGAAGATTCTGGCCAATGTTTTTGAAAGCACATTTAACTATACCATATGCCTCCTTAAATCATCTCTATCAAAAAAACTGTAGGATAAGACTCCGGTTCATTCTGTTCTGTTTTTCTTTCTTCACAATGTGTTTATGTATATTTACCCAATTTGCTCTGTTCTTCTTGCCAAATTACAGGTTTGAGATCTCAACTATTGCAGAACAGCTGTGCTATTGTTGATGTCTCACAAAACAAGGGTCATAGAATAAGCCCACGTTGCAAATACTTGTAATACTTGCACATTAAACTGTGAGGCTAGTGCCCTGGATTAGGGAACATCCAAAGAACATCAGAGAATGCATCCTATTCAAACTTAAAGAAGACAATTTGGCACAAAGGAACCACTTTTAGAAATAAATTTCTAAATAATAGGCAGATTTTTCTTGGTAAAACAGTTTGTTTAATCATACACCATTTTAAAAGTAAACCGTGTTCATCCAAAAAAATAGAAAACAACCTCACTACTATGACCATTCTTTCTGTTTAAATAATAAGAGTTTGTTCATCTTAGCCTAAAAATCTATATCAAATAAAGAAATTTAATAAATACAGATCTCTGTATCAGACAGATCTATCAAAAAAAGTTATTGAAAGACCCATCTGAACAATGCTCAAAATGATATACCTGGACAGGATTTGCCCAGATAACTTTAACTTTCCTTTACTCCATAACATCAAATTCCAAATGACGACCTATGTCCTAGCTACTCGGCTACATTCTTACTCCCCCATCTCCCACATGCTCTTTTAAACCAAAATCCACAGGCCTTAAGTTTTTAAAAGAATAATCCTCAAACAAAGTGAAATTCATGAAATAACATAAAGATAAGAAAAGAACGGATAGAGCAGGCTAATGAGATGAGGCACATGCCCATGGATGCAGCTCTGAGACTGTGCATCTGGCTTTGAGGCTCTCTGTCTAGGGTTACTTCACCAGCATGTTGTTAATTATTTAAGTGAGAGAATGAGGGGAACTATCACCACATCTGTCACCCTCACACAGGAAAAACCTTCATTCATTGTTGGGCCAGATGTGTTTATCTGAAACATAGACTAACTAGCTACTTAATGGGTTTGAATCCTTAGCCAAAAGCTAATTAGGCAAACATATTAAGCATCAGTCACCTTACAAGGCTAAACTGTTTCAATTGTGTTGATTTCAATCCAATCTCATAAGAGAGCTCATCACCTACAAAAGTGTCTGAAGAAAATTCAAGGCACAGGAAAGGTCCAAATTACTTGCAACATACTAAGTAAAATAAATAATGATGTCCCCAAATACCCAGTACATTAACAAATAAAATCTAAAGCTTTGCTTCAATGGTATCATGTACCTGATCCAGGAAAGGAAGACAAAAGCAATTCTTTTAGACACATCTCTGTCCCAGAACATTCTCAGTTTGCTTGTAGGTGAAATATTAATGTCAAAATCTAAATGAATGATGATTTCTCATGTCTGATATTTATTATGCTATGTGTGATTAAAAAATGTATCTCCTGGGTATTTAACCTATCTACAAATAATTAAAGTGTATCACTAGCCCCGATGGTATTCTCTTCTAAAGAAGACTGTGCCCAAAGGCAAATTCTAGAGAAAACAAAATCAGTGCCTGGGATAAAACAGGCATAATGCATTTTATAACTACTTCAGAGAAGAAAGTAAATTACTTTCTTTAACTAGTCACTATTATTTGAAAGCCAAGATTTTTTTTTTCTGCTTTAAATAGTATGGCCCCCCAAAATAAAATTCTGACCATTTTCCTCTATCCTGGTACAAGTACCTGATCCCACCAATCAAATGACCTCTTTCAGATCGTTATGTTAACTGGTAAACAAAAATATTTAAGAAAAATTCATTCATCCTTTTATCCACCAAACATTTAGTAAATCTACTATGAGTCAGACATTGTGTTAAGTGCTAGTAATACAACAAGAAACAAGACAAAACGTGTCCTAGCAGGAAGTAGAAACATAATAACAGACAAACAATTGGCTTTGGAGAAAAAATAAAACATGAAAAAGGTATACAGGTTACAGACTCAAAGAGGAAGATTGCATGATTAAATAGGGTAAGTTAGGATTTGTTTTGTTTTACTTAGACTAAGTTCACATACAGTTCTACATCAGGGGAAGAGCAATCCAAGCAGAGGCAACAAGAAGTATAAAAGTGCAGGTGCAGGAGTGTGCAGGTGTGGTCAAGAACAGCAAAGAGGCCAGTGTGACCATAACTGAGTAGAAAGAGCAAATAGAAGATGAAGTCTGAGAGGGAATGAGAGGCCAGACCCTGTAGAACCTGGTACAGTATTACACTAATTAGACTTTACTCTGAGTGGGGTAAAGAACTCATCACAGAGAATCTTAAGTGAAGAGATGACATAAAATAATCTGTTTTAACAAGATCACTCTTGTGAAGGATGGAAACAGAAAGACCAGTTGAGAGACTAATAATCCAAGCAAGAGATGGCAGTAACTTGGTCTAGAATGGTAGCAGTATAGGTAGAAAGCAGAGATTGGATTTTGGATAAATTTTGAAATTAGAGCTAAGATTTGTTGATAGACTGGGTCTAAGAGAGAGAAAGAAATCAATAATGACTCAAAAGATTTTTACCTGAACAACAAAAATGATGGAGCTGCCAATAACTAAAATGGAAAATACAGTTTGGGAGATAGATTGGGGGAATATTCAGGAGGACCAACCTGGAATTACAGATTCACTAAAACAAGACTAAACTTTAAGTCAATAGATGTATCATGGCTAATACAGACACGATTATTCAGAAAGCCTTGAGTCCTACGGTGTGCTTGGGGTTAAGATGGCTCCACAAGAAACTGACTTGCCTCAAATTCCAATGCCAATTTAATTTAGCCACAGGCATGTTGTCAATAACATAGATTATTACATGATACAGAAAACGAATAATACTCTTAGTTTTGTAAGCCATCTTGTGCAGCTTCTTTGAATCTATTTAAAACAGAAAGCTGATACTGCTCCAATTTACTTGCATGACCAAAAGTGATGTGCGATAGATATCTTGAATATTTAAGTATCCACAAAAGATAAATGTTCAAGTCAGCTTAAAAATGCTAGAATGATTTTCTTAGTTTCATAGAGGAAAATATCATTTTCAGTCTCTAAATACTAATCCAGATTTTGGATTGTGGCCTTGTATATGTAATTTTTCCCTGCTTTCAGTATCAGATCTATATAAAGAGATCCTAGAAAACTGTATCCTATTAACTATCTTAAACATGCTCTACTGTTGGGCTAGAGAATATCTGAACTATTTGTAATCATTTGCTTCATCATAGAACTGAAAAAAATCACAAATGGGAACACTAAATTATCAGTAGAATTACTTGTGTATAAACAATTCAAATAAGACTCCTTCATCCAAACTAAATTTATTTTTCTTTTTAGCAGATATCGTGGTTTTTTGGCCACACAAAAGAAGATGAAAAGATAGACCTTAACAGAAATGGAACACAAAGCACAAGTTAATACAAATGTACAAGTATTTCCTAGTGCAAGGTGTGCCTTTTTTTAGCCATGTTCTTGAGGCACTTTAATCGCAATATTTATTAAATACTATAGTAATTATTGAAAATCTCACTTTTGAACTGGGTGTGTGCATGCACACACATGTGTGTGCGTGTGCATGTGTGTGTGTTTAAAATAATGTTTATGGCTCTGATTATTTATAGATTCTAATAATAGTTCTCAAACCCATCCAGATAAATATTCATAGAGCCTTTTAATCAGTATTGAAGAAACTAGCTAAAACACTTTTTAGCATTTTCAACCTACTAAGAGTATAGCTGAAGTACTAACTTGCTTGCCTAGTACTAAGTTAAGTGGCTTGCCCAAGGCTTACTTTTTAATGCTCTGTATATCAAAAAAAGATAGAATAAAATGACCAATGTATATGTCACCATTTTCTAATAATTTTTTACTAAAAATGTTATAAAATTGTTTTAAATTAAGTACTTACTCTCCAGCTTTATTCAGGATAGGTGCAGGACAAAGCATAGAATTAAGCTGTACACTTACTGGTTTTACACCTAGAAAATAAAATGCCACTGAATTAGTAAAGGGTTTTATGCATCTCACACAGTTTCATTAATAATATGAACAGCATGCTTCAATCAGAGTTCAAATGTGGAATACTAGATATATTAACATAAAAAAACTAAAGAAAGAGAAGTGAAAGGGAATGAAAAATGGAAAGAGATTATATGCTCCATTGACATATAGTGTTGGTAAATCATAAGTTAGGATTATTTTGACTTAGACTAAGTTCACATACCATTCTAGATACTATAAAATATATTTTCTCTTAAATTTTTTAAATATCTCAGATTTTTAAAAACAAATGCTCCGTATTATTTTAAAAGCACACTTTAGAAAAGATGAAGGAAGGTGAAAGTTAGATGTCCAAAGGAAAATGAACTTATTTCACAAGTTTAATAAAACATTTGTCTACAATAAATAAATGCATTTTATGAAGTCACATACTTAAATCGCCCTTGTAACTTTAATAAAATATGAAAAAAATGATTTAGACTAAAATATGCAGAAAAGTTACTTAGTCAAACTGATCATTCTAGAATCTAAAAGAGGAAAATACCAATTTCACTTATTTGAGGATTTACTTTAATAAACCTAATCTTATGTAGCTAAACATGAAATACGTTTATTTTATAATGAACTCAAATATGTAATCAAAAGGAGCTAGGTGAAGCTAATGCTTAGATACAAATGACTACTGAATAAAAATAAAATTATCTTGTCCTACTCAATTGTGGAACCTACTATGAAGAGAGTTTGTAAATTTTTGCCTTACTAAAATTGTGATCTTAATAGAAAAGAGAGGAATTAATTATGACATTTAGCATGCTAAGATCCTTACCATTTTAATTCAATAAACACATATTGAATAGGTACTGTGTGTATGGCCAAAGCTGTGTTAATTGGAGTGTTTATACTCAGATAAACAGCAAAATGGCAGATGAATCTAAAAAAATAACTCTACCAGAGTTTACAAAGTTATAAAATCTGCTTTACAATATAAATTTTGAAGGGCAAATAATAATTAATAAGGAAAAACATTTATATAGATACTCAAGATGCTCAGAAAACTAAGGTCTATTTAAGAGGGAGGGTTTTTTCAGAATGAAAACAAAAACGTACTCTTGGCTTTTTTAAAAGTCAAAGGTAGGGAAAATTAAAACTCAATTCAATAAATACGAAAATTATCAACCAAAACTATGCTGGGTGAGAATTTGAGATGCAAAAATCTATAAGGCAAAAAAAGACTATCTTCAATAAATTAACAAATTATTGGGAAATTAGATAAAGAAAACAAGTGACAAAAAAAAAGAAAGAAAAAAAGGAACAAGTAGGAGAGAAGCTGAAGATAATTAGATTTTAAGGCAGGTGTGACAAGAAAGAAGCCTGAGGAAAGAAGCAATTAAATCATGTGTTTGATGTAGTAGGTACAGAGTACAGTCAGGAAAAGTGGGTTCAAATATCAGCTCTGTCCATTATTAGCTGTGTAACCACATGCAAGTAATTTCATTCTTTTAGCCACAAACCATCATCTGTTCAATGAGGGAAGTTAGGACAGGGTCCAGCATTTATTAAGTTATAAACAAATGTTGCCATTATTAAATAACTATTAAATAATTATCACTACTATTTGTATTATCATTCAGACTTCATTTCTTTCTTCTTAGATTAAAAAATATGTCAGTTAGTTTTCGTTGGAGAAAAAAAGAAAACATTTGATGCTGATGTGCTTTGCAGAGATTAAGACAACACTGAGATTACTGGGGACCTACTCGTTGTATATGTTTCATTTACAGTGTAAGTGCAGAGAACACTGCCATTCCGACTGCCCAGCATGAATCCTCTTCCACTTAAGACAATCTGAAATTCCTCTAGAAGTAAAAGGAAAAATAAACATTTAATCACTGCTTTACCAAAAAAATAAAAAACACAAGCTGAAATGAAAGTATTAAGGTGCAAAGAATAATTTTTTTCATACTATTCAGTTAACTAATAGCAATGAAGACATAGCTCTATATTTCCAACTGTGCTGGCTTTCCCAGACCCTCTAGGTAAATGTAGTGAAGATACCATTCACTGCCACATGGGGATGCATTATTTTATTTTCTAAACAAAGTGATTCCCAGTAGTGACCAAGGTATAGAACAGAAGCATTAACAGTCATTCCCAGACAGATACTATACAAACCTCCTCAACTTCTATCCTTAGGAAAATACCAGGGGGAAAAAACTTTGTTTTTCCCTACTCTCAGGTATTAAAGTTTGGGAATGTAAATAAAACTAATTATGTACGTTTTTTAGTTCTTCGAAAAGTCGTATGTAGTACTTTCTTTAATCTATGCCTGTTCCATACAGAATTCTTCTTTAACCACTTCTTCACCTTACTAATCCTGATTCATTTTCTATTTCAAACCTATAAATAATCAAAAGATCACGTATTTTGAATTACTAATAATCGATGGCCAGTCACAAAAGTTGATTTAACTTATTGTACCATTATTTATAGTAGAAGCAAGCACTAAAACTTGTTAGAGAGTGAGAGAATAGGCTGGAATGAAAGTTAACTGATCAAATATCTTGACAGACAATGCATGTTTACTGCTAAGCTGCAAGATAGTATACTAACTATTTTAATAGTGATTAACGCTTATTTAAAAGGTAAATTGAAGCACAAATAAAATTTTAAATAGTTTATTTGAGCAGAAGATTCTTGAATTAGACAGATCCAAATCAGAAGAGGTTTGGCAGCTTTACCAAGGGAATACAAGGGGGAGGCTTTTATAGAACCAACGTGGAAGTAAACCAAAGAAAGTATTTGACGGGTTATAGTTACACAGTTGCCTTGTTTGGTCTATCCTGTGGAAAGTCCCTAGTTATATAAGTTTGTTGGTTGTTTTTGATTGGTTGCACTTAAATTCTATTTTTCTTAATGTAGGCATTGACAATAAATAGTTCAAATTAAATTCCAATTATATTTGTAAATCAAATAAGGTTAAGGCTACTTACGAGGCCTAAGTGTTTTTGCCTGCTTAAGGCTTCTTCAGGCCTGTTCTCTATTTTAATTTAACATTACCAGTCCTCTAAAACTTCTCATATCTAACATAATACAAGTATAATATAGTCATTAACTATGCAAGAAACTACTGCCAACCCACTTTTCATTTACTATGTTATGAAAGGAATTTCACTTGCAAGTTAAAATAAAGTGCAGGTAAAATGTGATTCGGTAAGAGTATGGGCATTCAAGTCAGACAGGAAAGGGTCAAACAGGGTAATTACTAGTAGCAAGTACTGAACCTGTCTCTGCCTCAGCTTCCCCATCTGTAAACCAGGGATGTATAAAACTTTCAATAGTGTTGTTATAAGGATTAGGTAAAATTATAAATGCAAACAACCCAGTATACCCTCAGCACAAAATTGGAGTTTAATAAACAACAGCTACTATTTTAATATTATTTTTCCATTTATTTTTCTTTGTTATCTCTAGAAATGTATTAACCTTCACTGTTAGGGAAGATAATCCTTCCCTGGGAAGTTCAGATGCACTACTTTCCTTAAACATCTCCATATTCATTCATTAGGGAATCTAGAAGATGCAGAATGTGAGACCATGCACAACTGGCTGAGAGGCTCTATGGTACATTACACAACATATTTTCTCCCCCACCAGACCCAATATTTTTCCTTTTTAAAGTAAAGTCAGGTTAAAATGAACTGTAGGTCAGGCTTGAAAAAGAAACAAAATAGGCCAGAGAGAATCACACTCTGTCTGGGCAAGGATGGCTGGGAGGTGTGAAAACCTGAGTATGTGCTTAGCACCAGCTGATAAAGCCACCTGCTTCCTTCCTGCAATCCGTCCATAAGTCACTTCCTTATGTGCCCTGAGCTGGCAGATTCTGTACTTTGTCCAGGTCATCAAAGCATGGAGCTCAAAGTCTACATATACCTGACTGTTTGTATAATCAGACAAAAGAAACAATTTCATATTTTATTTTATTTGCCATAGGAAAGGTCTCAAGCGTGAACTAAATATACAGAAGATTCTAAAAGCCTGTCACACAATATGCTCATTATTTAAAATAACATTCCAATCTTAAAAATTTGAATTTAAAATAGAAATATTTCAAGGAATTATTTAAAAATTCTTACACAAAAAAGATGCCAAAAAAGTTAATTTTGCTATTCTTTTTCCAACATGAGTTTCATATCATATATTTTAGCTAGGAAAAAAATACAATTTCTTACATGGTATTTTTAAATTCTAAACACTTACCCCCCACACAGACACTTGAGGGCTGCAATTCTAGGATTTCAGTACATGACTGAGCTAGTATCTAAAAAAGAAAAAAAAAAAAGATTACCAAGCTATAGATCTAAAATTACAATGTGAAGTAAATTATAAGATTAGTAATAACCTTGAGGTCTTCTCCATACTTCAATAGATCTCAGAGAAAATCTATTAACTATAGCGTGTACAGCTACCAAGTTCTTAGGAAACTTCTGCACTGTATTTCAGGGTATATTTTAAGATTATGTACTGTAGGATCCTTATTTGATTAAAGTAAATTCAGATAAGCACAGGAAAAGTGAGCATTGTCTCAAAGTCTGATAACCTTGGGTATGAATAGATAACTAAAATTTCCTGCTGCCATAAAATCTATGTTGACTTTCCCAATCAAGCAAAAACAAGATAACAAATCAGACCCCCTGTTTAGTAATGCTGTTATGTTTTCTGTTCAGAAGACCAATATAATATCAATAAAAAAGCACTGCTGACTGGGTGCGGTGGTTCAAAATAATATCAATAAAAAAGCACTTCTGACTGTGCACAGTGGCTCATGCCTATAATCGCAGCCGTTTGGGAGGCCGAGGCAGAGGGATCACTTGGGGTCAGGAGTTCAAGACCAGCCTGGCCAACATAGTGAATCCTGTCTCTACTAAAAATACAAAAAATGAGCCAGGTATGGTGGCTCGCGCCTGTAATCCCAGCTACTCGGGAGGCTGAGGCAGGAGAATCGCTTTAACACAGCAATGAGCCAAGGTCATGCCACTTCACTCCAGCCTGGACGACAGAGCAAGCCTCCGTCTCAAACAAATAAATAAATTAAAATTAAAATTAAAAAGCACTTCTCTTTATTGGACAGTGGCATTTCTATCCCATTTCTCAGGCTTAATTCCTGTGGGTGCTAGTCCCTCTTACTTGCATAAAAAATTACAATTGCAGAACATAGACTCCTTATATGAGCCAATATTCTTTTTAAAAACACAGACTCCATACTCAAGCATTCCCAGAACACAGGAACAGAACTGCTCTTCTTAGCTTGTTCTGAGAAACAGAAACCACCACACAAGGGACAAGGCTACAACTGAAAAACAATGATGAAATACGCTGCTCCTCATGGACAACAATCCTGTCTTTATTTTTAGAACTGCTCTGCACTATATTATCAGTCAGACAAATTCCAGATGATCTCCAGAATTCCTTTCTTGACATTCCTTTCTTGGCAGAAGTTGAAGACAGATTATTTACAGCAGTTTCTAGCATCTCCTTTTCATAACTAGAATAGGAAGTAAGGACTGTAGCAGGAAATAGACATGCTTTCTGTGCTTTCTTTAATAACAGCAAAACTATAAGTTCTCAGCCCCTAAAATCAACTGTGTCAAATCATGGAACTTTGTTGCTGAATATACATCTCTGAAAAGAGGGAAAATTTGTACTTTTTAAGATAACTTTCCAATAAACTCAACTTTTCACATAGTGATTGAGGATTTTGTGATTAGAAAACAAACCTCGTAAAATTTTATATCTGAGAAACTGCAGATGAGGCCCATTTAAATCCAGAAATGACCAAAGAGATTCCATAGGCACTCAAAGACCTTTCTGCACCCAAATACCTCCTCTTGGTCTGCTACTTTATCTACAATAACCAACATTCACTTTTATGGATTCAAGAATTAAGAACTCTTGTTAAAGGTTAATGTGCCCTCTTGGAAGGGTAGTATTTCAAATCACTAACATCTTTAAAAATTTGGACATAATTCAGATAACAAGACTCTGAAGGAAATAGAATAGAAAAGATTTGCAAAGGAATATGAAGCTGAAAAGGTTCCAACTAACAAAAATGGACATTATAGCTATAGCTTTGGCCAATCTGAGATAACAGTGACAACAGTGAACCATCAAAATGGAAGGTTAAAGGAAAACACAAAACCCCCAAATCTATTTTGTCTGTCATCAGTCCTGAAGGAATTTATCTTAAAACAGATCTTATTAAGGAGACTAATTGCATCTTTCAGTTTATAATCTCTTTAGTTATTTAGCCACAGCTTTATCAGTATTACTGAAAAAATATTTCAAGTACTCAGGAAAATTATGAGGCACTTAAAGATTACATCTATTGGCAATAGAAACCATTTCTCTGCAATTCCTCAGAATAAAGTAAATCAAAAAATTACAAAAGGATTTTCTAAAGATCATGTCAAAAAACATGCATCCGGAATGACTTCAGTGAATTTGTAACTTTATATTTGTTTTCTCTCTTCTATCAGCACTGACCATAAGTCAATCAGATTTCATAATATTTAAGATAATTGTGCATATGTTGACTTGGTCTTTTAATTTGATCCAATCCATCAAAACATTTCTAAATAAATGAGAATTCCAATAGCAATATCAAATAAGCAATTCTCCTAAGGAGATCTCTTTAAGGCTGAAGAACAAACACCCTCCAGGACTGCTGGTGATCTACATCTTTGGAGCCAGGCCCTGTATATCCCCTATAAGGTATTTTAATTTTAAAGAAGAGGTTCAGGATGATTCAACAATTTATGTTCTATTAAAGTCTGAGTTTAAAGAAATCAAGTTAAATTAAGCAGAGATTAAGGATAGCTAATGTTAGATATATCCTGCAGTAAACAGTATAGCTTACATTTGCTAATAACAATACATTTACATTAATTCAATATTCATAATTATTTTAATAAAATAAGTTTTTCTAAAAATAATATAATTGAATGGAAAAGTGACTCAGGTAACACATTCATTGAAAAGCAAATAGTGAGAGCACAAGTCATAACATTGGTATCACAATCTAATGTTATCTAATTGAATTTCCATGGCATATGCTCCTCTCTAAAGTTTGTTTTATTTATAAAAAAAAACTGTTTGGACCTTAAATTATATTATTAGTGCATAACTCAACTCTTCTACTAGAAAACAAACTTTTTGAGGAAAGAAATGAGATTGAATTATACTATACAGCACATTCAGGGCCTTACACATTGTTTTGTGCCTTCGGTACAACCAATAAATGCTTAAGGAATAAACATTGAACACATAAATTAATGAGGATATTAAAAAGTCTTATTAACAAACCAACAATCATATTAGGACACAGATGAGTCAGGATAAAGTTAATTTATGTGATGAGGCATCTATTTCTTCCATAAATTATGAATGTTGGAAATCCAGAAATCTATAATTTGAAACAAACTTCACCAAAACCATTTCCAAATGAAAAATAGAGAGGAGGGAGAAGAGTAAGAAGAGAATTTATGCATTTTTAGAAAATAAAATTTGTTCTAAATTTGTTCTTTTCCATCTAGAGTTTACCATGTTCCAATATTAAGAAAGCAACAACTAGAAATCAAAATAATTTGATGTCTGAATGCAAATAGTTTGCACCATAAGTTTTTTTGAACAGTTTTACAAAAACAAGTTAATAGTCTATTCTCACCAAGTAATTATACAAATTGAAATGTTCAAGATATCAAAATGGGTGAACAGACACTTCTCAAAAGAAGACATACAAGTGGCCAACAAACATACAAAAAAATGCACAACGTTGCTAATCACTAGAGAAATGCAAATTAAAACCAAAATGAGATACCATCTCACATCAATCAGAATGGCTATTATTAAAAAGTCGAAAACCAACAAATGCTGGTGAGGTTGTGGAAAAAAGGGAATGTTTATACACTGCTAGTGGTAATATGAGTTTAGCCACTGTGGAAAGCAGTTTGGAGATTTCTCAAAGAACTTAAAACTGTTATTTGACCCAGCAATCCCATTACAGGATACATATCCAAAAGAAAATAAATTCTTCCACCAAAAAGCAATCATGTGTTCATCGCAGCACTGTTCACAGCAAAGCCATGGAATCAACCTAGGTGCTCCTCAACAGTGGACTGGATGAAGAAAATGTGGCACATAGAAACCATGGAATAAAACACAGCCATAAAAATGAATGAAATATTGTTCTTTGAGGCAACATGAACGCAGCTGGAGACCATTATCCTAAGTGAATTAATGCAAGAAAATAAAACCAAAGACTGCACGTTCTCACTTATAAGTGGGAGCTAAATATTGGGTACTCATGGACGTAAAGATGGGAACAGTAGACACTGAAGACTACTAGATAGGGGAGGAAGGAAGAGAGATGAGGGTTGAAAAACCAGCTATTGGGTACTATGTTCAGTACCTGGGTGATGGGATCAACTGGACCCAAAACCTCAGTATCATGCAATACACCTAGGTGACAAACCTGCACAACCTGCACATGTACCTCCTGAATCTAAAATAAAAATTGAAAGGAAAGAAAAAATAGAATAAACCAAAATGAGTCTATTATATTAAAACTGTCATCTCTAAACAACTGACAAGGAGGAGAAACATTCTAAACACTCCAGTTAATTTTTGCCAAATTAAATAATATTACTGACTGAACATTGGATCAGGTGTCCCATCCACAATAAATGGCAAATTATCTTTAATACTTTGCAACTCCATCATTGGTACAAGAGAGAAAATTGTAAGGACTTTCCCTCTAATATATGCTGTCATCATTATGTTTCAATAGTAAAAGAAAATAGTTTCTACTAAATATAGCCTTAGCTGATATTAGAGAGAGCTAACAGCACCATAGACCAATAGATCAAATTTAAAGATAAATCAAGTGCTTAATAAATCTAGGGTATGTTAAGTCATGCACACACTAAATGCAAAATTTCATCATTTGATATTTTGGGGGATATATACGCATGCATAGACACACACACACACACATACACACACACACACACACATATTGGCAAAGAACCTGATATCACCATGAAAAAGTATACTATCGAAGCATCTGTTCACCCAAAAAGTAATATTAGTATTAAGGAGTATTTACAAATAAAAAAATTATATACCTTATTACCTAATCCCTAGTTTTAAGTCCTCAAACATTAATATAGATAACAAAAAGTCAAATTTTCTAAATTAAGTACAAGTATCAGTAGTCCAAAATTCAAAAGAATTTCTAACATGATAATAGTTAACCATTCATTGGGCACTTATGTTCCAGCAACTATGCTAAGTGCTTTTTATGAATTTTTTTCAGCTAATCCTCATAAGTCTAATAAACAAATATTTTTATCCATGTTTTATTGATGAGGAAACTGGGGCTTAGAAAGATTTTTTTAACTGCCCTAGAAGAATTAGCTCTTAACTAGGTTGTCCCCAGGTTTTATTGAGTCCAAACCCCATTCTTCTAGCCAGCACCTTCCACCACCCTCCAGGTTTGTGATGGATAATCTAACCATTACAAAATCTAACTCTTAACAAACTAGTGAAATGTATCTGCCTGTTTTGTCTGGACTCCTGTAATGCTACCAAAAACAATCTAAAATCTGGCTTATTCCTTATCCTCGAAAGTATATCACTAAGCTTTTGCTTTTATTTGTTAGGATCTTCTTTCCTTTTTTCTCAAAATTTTTTTTTAATTTTAATTTTAAGTTCTGGGGTACATGTGCAGGATGTTCAGATTTGTTACATACGTCAACATGTGCCATGGTGGTTTGCTGCACCCATCAACCTGTCACCTAGGTATTAAGCCCGGCACACATTAGCTATTTTTCCTAATGTTCTCTCTCTCCCCACCCCACCCTCAACAGGCCCCAGTGTGTCTTGTTCCCCACCCTGTGTCCATGTGACCTCACAATTCAGCTCCCGCTTGTAAGTGAGGACATGCAGTGTTTGGTTTTATGTTCCTGCATTAGTTCGCTGAGGATAATGGCTTCCAGCTCCATCCATGTCCTTGCAAAGGACATGATCTCATTCCTTTTTATGGCTGCAGAGTATTCCATGGTGTATATGTACTACATTCTGTTAATCAAGTCTATCATTGATGGGCAACTGGGTTGATTCCATGCCTTTGCTATTGTGAATAGTGCTGCAATAAACATACGCATGCATGTATCTTTGTAATAGAATGTATGTTTGTTTTAAAATTCCTAATGCCATTGACTTTGGATTTAAAATGTTTAATCATTCTATGAATTAGTAACTTATAAGATAGCCAAATACTTAGGGCCCTCTCTCTTATTATTATGTTTCTTTCTTGTCTTACTGTATTAATGCTTTCTATCTCAAATTTGTTTTGCACAGATAAAAATACATAGTTTTTACTTCTCAGCATCATTCAGAACCTAAAAGACAAAAGAGGCCATACTAGAACAACAAGCTACCACAAGCCCTAACTCTGGTTTTCGAAGACAACAGGCACTTAGAAAACTGCAAAACTCCGTTTATAAAAATTAAATTTGTTATATGATCTTAGAACACATTTTCTTTACTAACTATGTGAATGACATCTAGGTTTCATAGTTCTAAAATTTTAGAATTTACCTGAGTTGGGAGCAGAAATGTGAGGCAGAAGTTTGGGGGTGTTTTTCTTTCTTTCTCTATACTTTTTCTGGACATGGAGAAGACATTGGGTACATTTTTCATATGGAATGTTAGCCTTTGGTCCTCTCCCCCTCACTGTCTCACCTAGGTTGCTAGACACACACAGTTACTTCTTTTCTAAATATGCTCTCTATATAGGTTTCCTTTATCTCCCAAAATACTCCATTTTATTGTACCTATTCTTATCTCATGAACTCATTCATACTTTATATTGAATGTGAATATGTGAATTGATAATATTGTAAACTCAAAGTGATGTTTGTTAAGCTATGAAAAATAACTGTGCATGGAAATTCAGGCAGTCTAACAATTTTAAAGCAAGAAATGCAAGCAGCATGAGGGAAAATCTAAAATGGGATCCCAACATCGCAAAAACAGGTCTACCTATAAGGCCAATTTCTCTGTTTTTCCTTTTCTTAGTTTCTTTCCCTCTTATATTTGTGAATCACAGGGTCTCTAAAACCTTTTTAACCGATGGTTGTTCTCAGAGGGCACAGAATAGGCAGAAATAAAGGTATGAACTTCCAGGAGGAATCCGTCTAGGCAAAATAGCTATTGGTATACACAATACTATCTGTAAGACTTGTGCTGATAGTCTGCTAAAAATATACAATAGAAAAGAGTTCACAAGCATGGGGGAGAGAGGGGAGTGGAGGATGAAAAATTACTTAGTGGGTACAATGTGTCTTATTCCATACTAAAAGCTCTGACTTCATCCTGAAGCAAAATATTCATGTAACAAAATTACACTTGTACCCCAAAAATTTATACAAATATGGAATTTTAAAAAACATATTGAGTTCTAAATTCTGATATTTGGTATAAAATGGCTGCATTCCATATTGTGCCAGTGAATTAAATGCCTAGTTTTAAATATTTGATCTCTGCAATAACAGTCACTATCCTTTCTCACTGAAACCTTCTCTCCTACTTAAGATGTGTCTTGAATGCCTCCTTTAAAATGTGTGGTAAAAAGTCTGTCATGTATTAACATGAGAAATTCAAAACCCAAGTATTTTTCCCTTTGCTAAGTTTTTGGGATAAAACTGCTGATGGGATAATAACATTAACCCCTTATAAATTATAATGACATTTTCTGTTGCTTCTAACTGATCGTATAAAATTTTGATGCATTATTTATACAGTTCAGATAAGCAAAATATTCTCAATAGTTCAGGGAACACTGCTAACTAATTTCATGGAATTTTTCTATTTGGCAAGGGAGAAGTGCAGGATAAGATAAAGCTGTTTATGTATCCCTCTGGGTTTGTTTTCAGTTAGCAGCAAGTCCAGATCCAGCCGTAAGAGTCAGCTGTGACTGCCCTGCCTGCTGGCCTCCTTGAGATTATAGATGTTTGGCAGGAGATGAAAGTAGATTCTACTGTTGTCTCTTCTCTGAAGCCCAACTTGAATGAAGCATCAGAACAGTGTTTAAGCCTGGACACTCTAGGAATGTCCCAAATTAATTTGCATCGAGTCTATATCTAGTATAATATGGTCAGGTTGCATGGATTCACCAAAGGCCAAATCTCCTTTCTACATGACAAGAGGCAGAAATTCACTCTAGAATCAGAATTGGCAAGGTTTGCTGGAGGTTGAGAACCAACGCTAAGTCAGAGGGACAAATACTCCAAGAATCCAACGGGCTACAAAGAAGTTTCCTATCTTGCTTGCCTATATGGTTACAATCAAGTTTTTACAACTATTGAATAATAACTGACGGTAAAGACAAATTGCTGGTATTGTCAAGGAAACATCCATAGCAAAAATAACCAGAAATCATCAGAAGGCATGAGTTTTGTGAGAACCTTGACTTAATTTCTTCTTTCTTAGAGGTTTCATGATACATGTGGAATCATACTTTGATTGAGATCTTGTAAGTTCCTGAATATGTTTACATAAAAGACACATGCTATAATAACAAACGTAGGACACATAAGAGGTAATAAAAGCAATATCATGTCCTGAAAAACATACACAATGGATATAGTTATGGCCTTTTCTTCTGGTATTTAAAGTAATATGGGATTTGTGGAGAGTTGTAGTTGGTGTCGATCCAAGATAATAATTTATCATGCAATAAATTAAGATGGGGAGATAAAATCAAAATATTATTTAGGACCTATGTTGTCTTTGAAGTTTATGTTGAATTTGAGAGAAACATCTATGAGCTAGACCTTAGGACTTGAAGATCAACCACCCAGCTTGACCAAAACAAAAACACCTCCTACAATTAATATAAGCCTAGACATATTTTAAAATCCATATTTTTTTTCTAATTTCTAAGTGGCAACAGGAAGGATACTATATCTGGAAAACAGAATGCAGTCCATTCCAGAAGAATGAAATAAAAACTTTTAAAATGAATAACACCACATATTCAAAATTCAATCTAATATAAAAAGTATATAGCGCAATATCTTATGAATAGCAGCTACTCAATGAATGTTTATTCTATTTAATTAAAAAGTAAATGCAAAACTTTTTAATAAGAAGCATGGCCATTATGACTATAACATAAAAAACAGAGCATATAACACTAAGAGTTATGCATGTAAAAAGATACAGAGCTTACTGAGAAGTTATTTGAATTAATCAAAGCATATTTTCAGTTACACACAGTGAAAAAAATTATTTGGATAAATTCAAATTTTGGTAATTAATAGTACCTATAAGGCATATTGGACCAGATGCAAAACTAAACAAAAACAAAAACAACATGAAGAGAAACAAACTTAAGTTATGTGTTATCTTCTTTTTAAAGTCTTATTTTAGGTAGAATATATAAAAAGAGAAAAGGGGTATTAACTCCCATTAAATGGTTTCCTCTGTAATAACATTTTTTAGGATCAACTCTAAATAATAAGGCTTTTTCCTCCCCAAAATAGATTATTTCTTCATATATACATTCACATGTGCTACCTAAAGTTCTCCAAAATTTTTACAAATCTATTAAAAATTCTAAATATTCACCTCAGCAAGAATTTTTTGACACTGATTTTGGATCTATAACATCACTGGCAACCGATCATCACAAATAATTTACAAGTGCTCCAGGTGTGTCCTTAACAGATAGAAACTGCCAATTTCCATGACCCACAGCATGTCAGAAAATATTGGCAAGGGTAGTAGAGTCTAAAAAAGCAAGGTTTTTTTTTTTTTTCCTGACTCATTGAGCAGCTTTAAACACTAAAGGATTCATCCCCAATACAAAAAGATTTCAAGTTTAAATCAGGAGAAAATATATGAAAAGTATTAGTTTTAAAGGTCTAACAAAATGAAGCTTTAGTAATTAGACATCCAACTGCATAACATAAGCAGCAAAAACAACTGGAAAGGTGTTTCTCATCCTCTTGTCTTGTTTCCTTTTCACCTTTTAATATTCAGATGTGTGATTTTTATTTTTTCTATGGCTTCCAAACACCCCAGCCAAATATATTTTTCTCTAAGGGGTAATACTTCAACTAAGAACAATTGCTATTTTATAATCACATGTTTTGGTTGAGTTCATTCCTTAAAAATGCTTAGAGCTTCAAAATATCAGTTGCTCAATACAGCACACACCACTCTGACTAGTTTCTAAATATGGATTCTCTTCTGTCTTGCAAGTAAGCAAGGAATAAAAGCACACATGACAAATTTCTAAACAAACTTTTACCCTAAGAGAACTGTGGAAGAAGGTAAATCATACTCATTGTCTTTTAGTCTTCTGAGCTCCAAACAAAACAGATGGATAGTTCTGATTACATTGTTGATGAACATACTCTCATATAATAAATCTTTTTTAAAACTTTAGTTTCTTCCACATCTCACAATTCTGATATTTAAAATAAATCATATTAGCAGTCTTGCTGTTTCATTACAATATAGAAAAAATTCCAAAAATGCATAGTTTGTGATTGGAAACAAGTTTATCTGCCACTACTTTTTGGTTTTGCTGTTGTCGTTGTTGTCTTTGGTCACCACAAACTCAAAATAATCATTTAATGCTAGCTTAGAAAATAAATAAGCTTCCTATAAAAACTGCCTTGAACTTATGAGATAAAATAATAATAAATAGACTATTTCAGAATTTGAAGAAACTTGTTCATGGTATAATTTTCACTCTGATGCAAACATTATTTTGTATTAGCCTTATTTGCCCACTTTCTTGTTTTACTAAGACATGAAGTATATCTGCCAAGCAGTCTTAGTCTATATTTATTCCATTTGATTTTTCAGAAATCCAGGATGGCAAATGAAATGTTTCCCTATGCAACAATAATAGAAAAAATATCTTACTAATTCTTCTATTAATTTTCCAAATACACATCCTAAAAATTGTAAGCTCTGAAGAGTTTGGGGACCATACCCATTTTGGTAATACAAAACACAGCAAAGTGTCTTGAACACAGCCCAGTACCCAACAAATGCTTCTGAATCAACTGAGAATTATTATATTTGGAGAAAATGAAGTATAATTGAGAAATTGTACATTTTTCCTCATAATGTACACCAAATGGTACATTTGGTGACAAATATTAACCATTTTCTGCACCTGTTCAATTTCCTTCCACTCAATTAAATCTGCTTTTAAGAGCAGGTAAGCCTCTGTAGGACACCTTTTATAGTCCAACAGGTTAATGTTAAGAAATTAAAATTTGGAATTTCATTTTATCTGTGTAACCAAATGTCATCAGTTTAGTTTAGTTTTCTCACAAACTATCACAAAGCTGTACTTATTTATTCAAAGTGGATTTAATTTTCTTAAACTACAATCCCAACCAAATTTTTTTTAAAAAAAAGAAAATAATAATATTATTAGGGAATATTTTCATGCAAATACAAATACAGCTTTGGACAGTAGAGGCCAAAATAAGATCAGTTAATAAAATGAATAATTTAAAGGAAACTTTCTATGTTTATTATCAAGTGGGATTTCGGAGGAATGGGGTGTCTTCTTAGAATATATGTCAAAATATTTTAAATGTATTTGAATATAGTGAGCTGTCATCACTACTGATTTTTTTGTTCCTACCCTGGACACTTTTGCACCCTTACACTTCTATGAATAGTGCTCCTTTCTATTTGGGAAACTCTTTTCCACTCCATGTGGTCCTAGTGAGGCTGTGAATCACAGTGCCTTCTTCTCCCTCTCTCCCTTGCCCCCAACAGAATTGGTACAGGAATGAGCTCATGACTCAACCGAATCAATTAGAGTTCTTATCTGGGACCCTATACACTGATGCAAAGACAACACCCCTCACTTTCCAATATACTTGCTGAGGACCATGTAAGCCTCCTTTTGCAATTACAGTTCACCACCATTCATCTAAACAAGGAATGAGGCAAATAGAAACATAGGCAAAACTTACTGAGAGAGAAGACCCTGACAACATGATTGATTCCTTGGATCCAGCTGTACCTGAGGTAATTTCCCTCTCTGGACCACCTAGTTACAGGCCAGTAACATTCTATTTTTCTTTTCCTTAAACTATTATTAACTGAGTTCTTGTCATGTGAAATCAAAAGAGTCTTAATACAGTGAAACATAAATATGAGGATGAAATCAAATTTATATGAAATCAGGGGTTAATTATCTAATGTTCAAATATACCATAACTACATTAGAAAAATATAAAAACATTTTTAAGAACTTGCATAGATTTTTATTCATTTTATTTATTTATCTAATGCACATGGAATCAGAGGTTAATTTTTAATGCTCCAATATACCATAACTATATTATAAAAATATAAGAATATTTTCAAAAACTTGCATAGATTTTATTTACTTATAATTCAGAAATATGAATTAAGCAATGACTACTTACCCAACACTAGATTAAGCATTAGGTAAAAAAAAAAAAAAACAAAAACAGGAGTTGGGGCAATACAATTTCAACCTTCATACCATTAATGTGAAAGTTATTATAATGAAATACCTCATCTACATTCAGCGCTAATGATCCTTGGACAAAGAGAAGCCTAGAATAATCTGATATACAGTTATTCTTACATTATAGCCAGTCCTTTTTAACAGGAGTCCTGAAAATTGGTTTCCAGTTTTGAGTAAGTCCTACCATTTTTGTTTCTCCTATGAATGTATCTTTACAGTTGCTCAGGCTTCAGGTTTTTCATCAAACCGTAATTTTACAAATAGAAGTTTTCACAACTAAGTGGTCAACATTCATAGCAGAGTGTGCTAAAATCACTTAAGCTAAGGTATTATCAGAGTGTTTATTAGGTTCCCTCTTCTATGAAAATGATTTGCCTTAAGAGAAAATGTGTTTGCAATGTCTTCTCATTCCATTAAAATATAGTGTTAGACAATATAAAATATAGTGTTAGACACTTTTCTTCTTAGATATTTTTCTAAGAACAAACAACAACAGACATTGCTGAGAAAAAAATTCCACTCCAAAAGTGAAATGAAGCTTATATCTCCAGCACTATGAATGTAGGTACTTTTTGAAATTTCACTTTTCCCTTTAGAAACTATCTAATTCAGGTTTATTTAAATGTCCTAAATGTATGGATGATCGTTCCCTTCCTATTTATGCTTGTATACTTTCCCATTAAAAACTTAGAAACTCTGGCATTAACTACCATCACCTAGGATGTAGTGTTCTCAATTCTTTTGGACAAGGGTTATTTATAAAACATGCTTCACAACTGATTTATTTCTTTCTGCTTAATACTTTCTGAGGTATTCTTAAAAAAAATGTGGGAATAATTCCAAATAGTGAAACATCCCATGGTCCTGTTTTTACACAAGGAAGGGCACAGAACATTTTGATTTTTATTCTTTCCATATTATTCACCAATCTGTGGTTTTCTTTTATTTTTAATGTTATCTTCCATAGTCTGCATTATGAAACATTGAACTAGAACCCACAGGGTACTCACATCTCAGTCTGACCTTTACTAGTTCAAATAAAATTTCATTTTCAAATATAAGTCATGCAATCACCTTCCCAAGAACACAAAAATAATTTAACATTCCAAGGATTTAAAGATAATCTGAAGTGGAAAGTGAAAAAGAGAATATATATATGTGCTTGTGTCTGTGGACAATGGGAGGGGAGAAAGAAAATGAGGAAGCATAATGACAGTAGGGTTTTCTAGCCTTTCCATTCCACCTGGCCTCTAACTCCCTAAAGGATATCCCCCACTGGGCTTTTGTTCTCAAGCTCAAATCAACTTCCCCCTCTGCCCTATGCCTTCTTCCATTTTGTACAATAACCCTCTTGTCCCCTCTGTAAAAACAGTTTTTGCTCTATTCTTAGTCATTCATCTTAGTCAGGGACAGAATGCCCAAGTTACTTTTGACTCCTCTCTCTGTCTCTTGAACCCTATAGCCAGTGAGCTCTCAAATTCTACTAATATTTTAATGCTTCCCAAATTTAACGTTTTACTTCCAGTTTCACTGCCCATCCTAATACTAACAATAATTAACATTTGACAGCTAATATTTGCCATGTCTCTCGGAGCCCAGCTCAACAAGAGTCAAAGATTTTATACCTGGAGGTTTAGCCCCACCCTGTTCCTGACATGATGCTTGCCAGAATAAAGAGGTTATTAGGTGCTTCCCTCATGATCCTTGACCTAGTTCCATTGCGAAAGACAGAATCCCAGTGCCAAGAATAATCCCTAAGGAACTATGATGATCCACTGTTTCTTCCAAAACTACTGAGTTTCTTCTCTGAATTTCTAATTAGTACTATAAGTCCCACCACAGGAATTGTGTCTCTCCTCTGAATGTGCGGTCCAGAAATTCTACATAGCTTTTGTCATGGGAATACTGAATTTTGTTTCCAAGTTGTTGGCTAGGTCCTGATCTTACGGCTTGAGGATTTAATACCAGCGCACATCCAAATGCTTGACTTTGTGTGCTACACTATCTAAAAATCCTTGTTGTCATGACTCACATCCTAAATTTGATCCTCTTACATGTCAGTGCCATGTCCTTTTGTACCTAAGACCTTGTTTAAGTAGATTGGGGGTCATCTCTCTCAGTGGACTGCCCGACAGAAGGATCAGGAGCCCCATCATTAGCCCTGGGTTAGTTTCCTGCCATGCCTAGCTTTCTACCAAATGATTTAAAGCCAAGCCCTTCTAACTTAGGTCATTCTCAATTGTTATCTCATTTAATTTAAAAAATAAAACAACAAAATGGAAATCACTATTCCCATTTGACTGAGGGTTTTAAAACTCAGAGAAATTACATTGCCGGACATACCCCAGGTCACTTGGCAAGACAGAGTTGGAATTCACACCCAGGTTTTCCTATTCCCAACTGCATTTTGTCTCCACTATGCTGTGCTTCCTTTCATCGTGTCTCACAAGGATGACAGCAAAATACTTATAACACATCATCATCTTCCAAATCATCTTGTACATTATTATAAGAGTACTCTTCCTAAACCTGCATGGCCATTATATAAATCCCATGCTCTAAATTAATCTTCGATAATTTCCTACTTATTTATGAAATATGAGCGCATTCTCAAAACAAGTATGTGAAAGTCTCCATAATCTGAATCCACGCTACCCGTCAATGTTTATCCCCCATACCTCCCATGATCCTAGCCAAACCACATTCCAGCCTACACCTCAGCCAGTCAGCTCAGATAGTTCTTGAAGTTCTGTGCTCTTTGTTTCTCATTAAATCTATCCCAATTGTCAGAGTCCAGTTCAAATTTCACAATGAAAGGCCTCCCATAACTTCGCATAACTAAACCCATCCTGTCTTTATGTCACCTTACACTATAGGCATATTGGCATTTAACACCAATTGCGTTATAAGATTATTTCTTATCCCCTAAGGTGACTCACTGAAATTTTCCTCCTCTAAATGTCCACAATGCTTTGTAAATCTTTCAGGGGACTACCATACTCCAAACCTCAAATAATCATTCATTTCAAGCCCCTTTAGAGAGAATATGTCTTATTCAAGTTTATATCCTTCTTCTAATCATAACACAATGCCTTAAGAATAGTAAGGGCTCAGTAAATGAACTAATGAAAGAATGAGCTCATTGAGGAAAAAAAGGAGAAAAAGAAGAAATGTTTCCTTCCAGTATATACTTGAGATAATGAATTACAAACCTTCATATGCAACTAGCTAAGATTGGAAATTACATCAATATTCCCCAAAACTGTTACATACCATGTTTGCCTGGATAGAAATCTAAAAATACTAAAACAATGCATTTTCCCCAAAATTAAAATAGAATGCTTAAGTGATTTTCTGGATCAAATACATTTTAGAGAAGGCATTAAAATTTTAACGTGCAGGATGTTCATAACAAAGGCCTTTTTCAGCCCCTTGATTTTTGAGTTGTAAAAGCAGAACTACTACAGTGTTTCTTCTTTTTTTTAACTACCATGAAGAAAGGCTCCAAAATAAAACTTTCTTAATCTTTGCTATTAAGAAATTAATTCTAGACAAATGATGTCTTAACAATATATGATATCTTACATTAAGGGGACCAGACTATCTTGGTCATTGGATTTTAGAGGGGAGAGAGAACAAACAAAACAATAAAAACCATGTTGTCAATTTTTTTCAAGGATTAACTTCATAAAAATTAATGCACTGACAATGAGGCCAGATTTATTTAAAAAACAATGAGCAGGAAAAAAAATTATCAATTTAGCAAATATTCTGCCTTCATAGTGCCACATATCTGAAAGACTTAAAATTTTTTATTTCTTCTATTGGCTTAGCTTTATGTAAATACATTCCACAGTATAATTTCACCCATTAGTTTGATAAATCATAAAGAATAGAGTATAGTCTCTTCTATCTCTCCTAGCCATGTGACAGAAACACTATATTTGTTTTAAAGATCTAATAGATATTTTTAAAAATCAGATGGTACTATGCAATTATAAAGTCCAATTCAAATTTAAGGCAAAATTATAGGTTTTGTATACTATGAGGGATGGAGCAATCTTTGCCCTTGAAAATACATGAAAGTTTACATTGCCTTTAATTTCTACAAAGTGGGCAAAAATCTCAAACTATCAATCACGTTGATAAAAATCTCAACCATTAATCAAACCAGGTTTGGTTGTAATGGCTCCTTCTTTCCACCTGCCAACTCTGCCAGATACTACGATGTTTCCCCAAAAGGTGACTTTCCTAAGAATAATTTACTCTTCCCTTTGTGAGCACATAGCTGAAATTTAACTGTATTGACATGAAAACTATACCCATGATCTCCCTCCAAACAACACTCAAGAGATTTTGTTGGCAAATTGTGGCTAAAATAATGCAAATTTTCCTAATTTCATGCTAAATCTTTCAACATAACTTAAGTTAAAGTTCATCAAGAACTTTAGGCAAGAAAGGCCATACTTAGAAGTTACATTCTAGAGGTTCCCTAATAAAAATAGAAAAATTAAATGTATCCAACAAACATAATAAAACAATGATAACGATGTCATCTGGAACTCAGCTACTAATTCCTTGAAGGGGAAATCTGTAGTTATTACCCATAAAAATAGAGTTTTGGAAACAATCCATCATCTGGGTAATTCTGAGCTAAACCTTTTAGATATTAAAAAAATCCAAAGGAATAGCCCAGAGAGGTCCTTTCTCCTTCCCAGTATAATTATAAAAATCATTACAAATCCCAGAGCAAAATAAAATTCTATTTAAAATACAATCCACTGATTTGTTTATTTAGAGGGTCAAATTATCCTCCTTTTTACATTGTCAGTACTGTATCCTGTATTTTAAAACTTAAATCACAGTTGTATCAGTTTTATTTATCCTGAATCCAGCTATAAAATTATTTACTATTTTTACACTGCAACTATTCCCTAAAACCTAAACACAACAATATATGTAAACTACAAAAATAATTGAATCTCTGTTCCATTCTGCACTTACATTTGGTTTGTCCACTAGATGTACTGATAAGTGATGAAACCAAATTATGTTTTCTCTGAAAAGCTCCATTAATTTTTTTAAAAGCCTACGTGCTACTAAAAACAAATACAATAAATCTCATTTTGTGTTTCTAAACAACATGATCTTTAAAGAGAAATTTAAAATCCCAGAACCAAATGTTAGAAGAAACTGATATTTTTTCCCCTGAAGATTTTTTTTCAATGCTTTGGCTTAGAGAATATATATTATTCACTTCCATTTTAGGATGGTGTTTACCAAAATATCATAAATACTTAATAGCAACTGTTCCCAGTGCTTGTAGCAAAAGGCAGTAAAATGAAACATAAACCTCAGCTATGAAAGCCCAGGAGTTTTGCTTTGCATTTCATCACTCTCCTTCCCCAAACCCTGTTTAGGATAGCCTAGATTCTAATGATCACTAGAGACAGCACAACTGAATTCCAAACAGAAATATTATGTGCTCTAGTGAAACTATTAATCATTTAAATGGAAAGAACAACAAATGTAGTCAAATAGCCACTAGTTCAAGTTGCCTGACTGATATAGTTAAAACAGATACTATATTTGGAGAAGGGAGTAATCACACATCAATCCAAATTTTTATTTTAAATTTCTCCTATAAAACCTATAAAACTTTCAGGATATCAAGACAGTTAACTCCAGAATCAAAGGGTGAAAGTGTCTGAGACTTAAAATCTTAAACTTGAAACCACAAACCCAGTCTCACAGAGCCCAACATGCAAGAATTAATACCAAATGTCAGTTACAAACAAAATTCACATCTTTAGAATTACACTGTTTGCAATACCAAACAAATCTCTTCCTTAATCTCTTTCCTCTAGATAATGACCACCTGCACTGGATATTAAGATTACTTCTTATAGATTAAAAAAATATACAAGGTTATGAGCCCTTCCTGCCCCCAGAGAAATACTCACAGAATTAATTATTCCTTTAAGAGCCTGAAATCCACCTTTGACAGGGAAAACTTGCTCCTTGGAATCAGCAATTCTTTCAAGCTTTAGAAAGAAGAGGAAGACTTAATTAAGGAGTGGCTGACACATACAACAATTTATAAACTTCGTTACATTTCAGTTATGTTCATCTGAAAAATTACCCCACAGGATTAATTTACCAGCGTGATCTGTGTTCAAGGTCAGGAATTAAAGGTGATGATACTAGTGTTACTCTAAATGTATTACCACAAAATGAATTGAGATCAGTCAGAGTACCTTTAAGTTGGCCCCAAGTGCAATTTCAAAACAGTGCAGAGGAAATCTAACAGCTATCAACAGCGTGACTCAGGAGTCTAAGCCATGCTCAAGCAAAAATTTAAACGTAAAATAACTTCATGAGTGAAACATTTTCAAATATATAAACCCTCAAATCTCATGAAAAAAATGGTCTTGTAAGAAAAATGATCAGACTTTCATTAGATGGACTTTCATTAGAGTCAAATTCTAAATAAAATAGAAATTCTAACATTATAATAATATGACTACATATTATATATATAATATAATAACATTTTGTCAATTGAGTTAAGAGAAATATGTGTATCATTTCAAGCCAAATGTTTACCTTATATTAGTTTACCAAACCAAACAATTGAGAGATTTAAAGTTTCATTTTCAGTAACAAAACCTATTAAAATTCTTACATTATTAAGGTAGTACTCAAAACCTACAGCCATTTCTATAAAAAATCTTTAACAATCGACCAGTGTCACAATGTCATCAGTGAAAAGAATTTGTTAAACTATCCTTAAGACAATTATGTGGTTCAGATTAAAGTTTGCAGATCTCTTGTAACTTACCTGTGCTTGTTCAAAATCAAGGACACCAACACAATAAACACTAGCCCCAAGTGACCTGGATATCTTTGCCTATGGAGAATGAGGAGGGAAAGAGAGAAAAAAAGAGAGGGGAGAGGGAGAAAGTGAATTATTCAAATATCAAGCTATACATTCCGAGACACACAGCGATGTACAGTGGGGTGTAGAGAACAGTCTCAGTTCAATACTCACCTCTTTCTCTGCATATGATGGCACCAGACCGTCCAACTTGCCATCTGTCAGAGCAATTATGATACTGGAGGTTTTCAAGCCTCCTGCTTTCTGAATTTGTTCATTCGCCTGAAAATGAAGAATAATTATCCAACTCACAATTTAATTTTAACTTTTAACCAGCATGTTCCATCAAGCTGAATTTGTAAGTCTGACAAAATCAAAATATTACTGGCTAGCTTTTAAAACAGGGTAATTTGTGTTAACTATTTTATTTGAAATATGCATATATTCACATTACAGAGTAGTTACTATTGGGTTTAAATTATATAGATTTTTAGCTGTGGCTGCTTAATCTTAATATAACCACAAGGGAAATGGAAAATTCCTTAAAAGGCAAAAGCCATCTTAACTTTTCTCATCACCATAGTAAATAATTTTTTCTACTTGTCTCAACTCTGGAACAACTAAAAGCACTTTAAAAACTTTAAGATAAATATGTAATGAGGTTACTGAGCTTTGCTAGAGGGTTTTATTTCACCACAGAATAAGAAAGCATTCTCTCCCATATTTACAAATGTAAAATAACTTACTAGCTTTAGTCCTTCATGGATATATGTCTCTCCTACTGGACTAACACGTTTTAAATCCTCCAAGCCTTTACTGATTTTGCCTCTGAAAATAATATTAAACAAAAGAAAAAATGAGCAAAGAGCAAAGGTAACAATAAACACTTCTTAAAAAACATGGCAGTATTGTAACTAAGCTTTCTTCAGTAGGAAGCAGAGGAAAGAACATGGGCTTTGAAGGCAGATAACTTCATATACTTTTTGTAATTTTAGTAAGTATTTAATAACTTCTGTATTTTAACTACCAAAAATAGACATTGATGTGCTAACAATGTCTTGAAAAATCTTTGCATATTCTAGGCCTTCTGAGCTGAGAACAGATATCTTCAATCACTCGTTTTCCTAAAAGGAGTAAAATATACCTTCCCTTATCCACAAAAATACAAAAATTGAGTAGCTCATCTTCAATGACAAAGCATTTCTGAAACACTCACTCCATCTCTCTAAAAGTGGGAAATTTTCCTTGTTATCTGCGAATTGCTAAAGCACATTATTTAGCCCTTATTTACAGAAATTAACATTTTTTCTTACTGTCTCCCAGAGTCGTAAGTCTCATGATTTATTCACTTTTATGACACCTTCTCACCCATCCAGACATTCCCTTGCACATTCCCTTGAACATAGTAGGTACTTAATACATATTTCATGAATGAATGAAAAAATAGGTGGATGGATAGATAGATGGATGAATGTATGGATAGATGGATGAATTAGAAGGTAATGAATCCTTGGAAGAGACACTATGAATGAAAGCAATTAAAAACTATAGAATAATTTCTTTCATCATGACTAATTCACTATCCCAACTGAATTTGTCTAAATGGGGTATGACTACAATATTATTAAGAGCTATTTTATGTGTATCAGTTAAGGGAAGTCCCAATTTTTAGAGTTTTTAAAATATAGATTTGAAACCTCTCGAAAATAAATAAAACCAATTATCTTAAAAGATAAGTAAAATAATGTGGCAAAATTATCCAAATTAAATTCAAAACTTGTTTTATAATAAATTTAAAAGATAAGAAGATATCTTAAGATATTGTTTTCAGACTTTTTCAATAGAAGCAAAAAAAATGCCTTTTTAAACTGGTGAGAATGGATACTACACTTGATCTTAACCAAAAGGCTGAGAAGTGATAAGAAGTGCCTTTTTAAATGTAAAATTCTTGAAATGATAAACTGAATTAGAAAATTGTAAATAACACATGAAGAGTACTCACTCCTACTGAGGATGATAGATGAAGGAGATTAATTGTAAGAAGTATCATCTTAACATCAAGGAACTTACTGGGGCCATACACAACATTTATATAGGTACATGTGTGTATACGTTTATATCACATGCGGTTATAAAATATGTCAAAAATAATTTCAAAACATTTTGTCATGCTGCAATATTGTGTTTCAAATAATTGAAATAAATAATCCATTCACCAGAGCCTTATATACGTTTTAAAAGTAACTTCTTGATTGTATTTTTATATCGCAATAAAAAATATTATCAGGCAAGTTTTCCATCTCATAAAGTTTCCAGGTAACAGAAGACAATGTTCAAGGTATGACCCTAATCCTTCTCTTTCCTGGTTCACTCATCTCTATTAACTCTTGCTAATTGTCTTTTTAAATATTTGGTTTAAAGTCTACCTATTCTGAACCATTCTTTAAGTTCATTACACTCTTATTCTGAGTCACCCCAAGCTTTCTAGTCATACTCATATTCATGTTTTACCATAATAAAAAAAAGTTCTCTCCTAAAAACATTCAACTTTCTAATAATTTAACTAATTTAATTTAAATATTCACTTTTCAACTACACTGAAAGTTTACATTAGGCTATTACCATGTCTTTTATTTATGCTGTATTCCCCTGCTCTGTACTTATTATAATGTCATTTGCAAAGTAAGTGTTCAATAAATTTTTCAATATATCATAAAAAAATTATAATTCCAAGGATGATAGCATAAGTTATGTAATTCATAAGCTTGTTGTATCTAAAATATTTACGTTTGATAGCTACAGAAACAACTTGAAACTGATTGTGTCTGAATGCAGATAAAAGTCAAATATTTGGTGCTTTTCAGAAATGAGTGGCAGTGTGTCTTTGAGCATTAGTGTTTGCTGCCAACAAGTGAAATGCAAGTTTACACAAACAGATTTTGCATAAGACAGCCTTCTCCATTCAGTTCAAATCAGCTCACCATTGCTGCTGAGTCCCAGACAACACCAGCACAAGACTTTAAGCTAAAGGAACTTCCCAAACGTGGATTCAAGGTTTTTTTTTGTACAGTCAGGTATCTGCTAGCTTATTACACTGGAAGAGAGACAGCAGTTTGCGGTTTTTCTATCTGTACCTATACCTGCACCATAAGATTCCAAGCTCCACTCAATCCCATCATTACTTTTGCAGCTGCATGATCCTAAGAGGAAAGTGCTCCTTTTCCATAGCCAAGAAAAACACATGTGAGTCCTGGCCTTGTACTCCCTTCAGGGTAACTACCTGAAGTCTGTCAGCCTCTTATCAATCAACAAGGTATCACTTTAGGGGAAACAAAGGCCAAAACAAGACAGGGCAGACAGATCTCAGACCCTTGAAGAATCCCAAGCAACTGAAAATAAATATTAAGTTTTTCAATTGGTAAACAGTTAACGGTGAAAAAGCAAAATAATGTGGTAGGTTAAAAACAGAAATCATTCATCCCCACTGTAATGTTAAAAAAAAAAGCCTCTAAATGAAAGCGAAAATGACTAAAATTTTAAGAACAAGAAGAAAGAAAGGTTATGTTATAAAGATAAGTTCAACTCCTTGAATTCAACATCTTAGAAGATCAGCTTCACTGAGTTTGGCTTTCAAGTTATGTCTTCAACTACAGGGAACAGCAATATTGAAACTACTTTGTATTTGTTGTGAAGCAGTTGTCAAGGATGCTGCTGTCATGACACGCATCGTCCCCTATAACATTTCAAAGCAGAAGTTTCTTTGTCACCCCCAAGTAGTTGCTATGTACTTCCTCTTTTCTGCACTTGACAACCATGCAAACTTATTTCTTGTCCTGACTACTGGGGAAGCCCACAGTAAATTTCTTACTCATTCACAAAATTCTGTTAAGTTCATGTGGTTATCATAGTGTTTCATCCCCTTTTCCAAAATTTTAGCACTCTTCTTTTTATATTTTATTAATTTTCTGCAACACTATTAATTTCTATGCAGCCTCAAATACTTTTTTGAAAGAGACAGGAATTGAACAAACAAAATGTTATATTAAAGCCCTGGTTTTCTTTAATTGAGAATTGGGGGACCAAATTCCATTATCAACTGGAGGGAAAAAGAGAAAGAGAGGAGGCACACAAACACCATATATATATATATGGTGTTTTCCTCGCTTTCATTTAGAGGCTTCATATATATTGGAGACAGAGTTTCACTCTGTCACCCAGGCTGGAGTGCACTGGCACAATCATAGCTCACTGCAACTTCAAACCCCTGGACTCATGCAACCCTCCCACCTCAGTCTCCCAAGTAGCTGAGACTACAGGCATATACCATTATACCAGGCTACTTTTAAATTTTCTATAGAGATGTGGTCTCACTATACTGCTCAGGATGGTCTTGAACTCCTGGCCTCAGGCAAGCCTCTCATCTTGACTTTACAAAGTGCTGGAATTACAGACTTCAGCCACTATGCCCAGGCTTGGCTAATTTTTTAATGTATGAAATTAGCACTTTCAGCTCTATTTGTATCTCCCTAATTTCTTTGCTGAGAAGGGCAGGGAAGGGAAGGAGAGGGGAGAAGAGGAGAGGAGTGAGGAAGGGAAGGGAAAATAGCCACCACAACTGCCATGCACTGTGCCATATCAGTAGCTTTTCTCTGAAACACTTTGGATGTGGAAGGTATGCAAGGCATTATAACTAAAATAAAGATAGACTGAAATCATGGTGTCATAAAACAGTCTGCAGGGAATCCTGAATTGACCAACTAACAATGAAGGCATAATTTTATTTTCAGTATCTCCTACTTTTTCTTTCTACGATGTGTCTGTACAGTACTTGAACTTTCCAATGCACATTGTCTTAACTTTCCAGATTTCAAAGCTCTTTCAGGATTTCAGTCAATGAGTCTACACTCATCTGTTGAGCATCTGTTGTATGTGAACACCGTGATTCTACACAGTGATGTGAGAATTCCTCACACTCAGTCCAGGGGTCACTCACATAAAGCTCTATATATGCACTGTGGTTCTCCACCCTGGCTGTACACTGGAATCATTTGAGGGGATTTTCAAAAGCTCTTCTGGACTCTATTTGAAGAGATTCTAATTCACATGTTTGTGTTGGGTCAGGGTTATCACTGGCCTTTGAAAACTCCCCAGAGTATTCTAATGCGCTGCCAGGATTAAGAACCTCTGATCTAACCTAATTTTAAAACTTTCTTGTGTTATTGGAATGCGTTTTGAATTACCTATTTTGCCAGTCATTGCTTCTGTATGAGAGTTTTGGGTAAATAGGATAATCTCTTAAACCATAAATAGTTTCTGGGATGGTATGGATGAAGATGTGCATGAGCTTATAGACAGAATAGAGATTAGTTCCAAGCTCAACCTTGTTTCTTCATTTATAAAATAGGAATATAAATATCTCCCCCATGGGGCCACTGTAAGGATTCATTACAGTATATTATTATAAATGTCCTATTTTGTTATTAGTTATGGTTGTTAATCTCTTACTGTGCCTAAATTATAAATTAAGTTTTATCATAGGTATGTATGTATAGAAAAAAATAGTATATATAGGGTTTGGCACTACCTGTTGTTTCAGTCATCAACTGGGGTTCTTGGAACAGATCTCCTTCAGATAAGGGGAGTCTAGTGTACCCCAAAATTAGTGGTTATCAGCAAAATTGATTGTTTCTCATGGCACTGTGCATTGAATGAGCAGTTCTCATGCTTCACATGCTGCCAGTTGAGCCACTGGAATGGCTAGAAGCGGAATGCCTTCACATGGTTAGCAAGTCGGTGCCAGCGCTGATACTGGCTGTTGCCTAGGAGTTCAGCTAAGACTGTTAACCAGAGTCTCGATTCTCCTCCACATGGCTAGGTTGGGCTTCTTCCTAGCATGGTGGTCTCAGAGTAGTCAAAGTTTTCATATGACAGATGGTTTCCAAGAAAACAATAGAGGAAACTACCATGCCTTAATAAATCTTAGGCCTGGAACTCAAACTGGCAGTTTCATGTTCATGTCTGCTGCATTCTATTGACTGAAGTAAATAAATCGTAGGCCTAGACCCAGATTTTAAAAAGTAAAAAGTGTGTGTGTGCCTCTGTGTGTGTGTGTGTGTGTGTGTGTATTCTATGCTTCATTGGAAGCCACCAAAGAAATAATCTACCACTAAAACAAAAAGCCTCACACACTCATGTTGTCAAATGCCAATTTATATAATTGCAGGAATACTATAGGTATTTATATCATAAGTAAATTATTTTCTTTACTCTCAATAGATTATTAGCCACAGACTTAATCTGCTTGAAATAAACAGTAATTCCAAAACAAAATGTAGCAATACATAAGGATTTTATGATAATTAGCCAATTACACAGCATCCTGAAATGTTTCTTTTAGGGTAAAATTTAATAGATTGAGTAGAATATGAAACGAAAATGTTCTCAAGATGTTATTTATGACTATACAAAATTGCTAATGATTTATAATTCACTTAGAATTCACTTAGAATTGTACTTTACCTGAGCTATTGCATATGAAGAATTTAGTAAAATATGTAATATATAGTAACTGCTCAGTAAACTTTGATACTTTTATTGTCTCCTTCCATTAATAAACCACAAAATTAACCTGAGTAAGAAAAATAGAAAAAAACTGTATGAAGAGAAATATGTTCATTCATATATACCTGCTCTACTTAACTGTGTTACTATATACTACTGCCCTACATACTGCTTAACGGATGAACCTCTAACAAGTAATTTGTTCTCACCAAGTTCCTCAATTTAAAAATTGTTTAAAGGTTTCAAATGAGTGAAAGATTTTTTCTAAAGACACACATTGCTATTGCTAATACATTCTAAAATCTTGGGAACTAATGGGTTTTAGCTGTATCTTACTATAGTCTATGTAAAATATGCTTATTGTTTATTTAACATGTCATTCTAATGCCAACATAGGCCAAGGCTTCTGTGGTCCAGAGTCCAGACCAGCAAATCCAAGGTAGCAGTCATAGATCCAGAAATATCTGCTCACAAAATACCCTGTACAATCTGAATTTTGTCAAAAATATTCTCCAATTTGGCCTGCACCTACCAAAATGTGGTACTCAATTCACACCTGAAGTTCAGGCCTGCTGCGTTTTGCATACTTTTACTCCATTTTCCCACTCACTGCCTTACTAAATCATGAAAAATCAACCCCTGCATTTTACCACTTCCGTGTGCCAGGTCTGTCTCCCAGGCATGAGTAACAATGTACTTAATTTTCTAGAACATGCTCATAAAACAGATGTGGGACTTCAGCGAAAGTGACTGCTAACATGTCCATCACTAAAATCTGAGTTGCTGCCCTGCCTGGACCCCTCAGGTTTAGCACAATGTGTGGCCAAAACAGACTTTTCAAAACAGGAGTAAATACTTGCCTAATGGAATTTTTTTTAGCTAACCCAACTATTGTCTCATCTTTTCACCCCCTCACTGGTTTTTAAGAATAGAATAAATTTAGGGAATGACGATGTTTTTGAGTTGTGACTAATTCTGACTGATTGAAAACTGGAGAAGGAGAACCCAGAGAGTGTGAATACAGTGCGGTGGTGAAGTGCTCATGCACAGCATCAGGCCTGGGTGTGAACCCTGGCTCTAGCTGCTTAGCTGTGTCACTTTGAGCATAGTCCTTTGATTTCTTTAAACATCTGCTCGAATCCTGATACATCATGATGAAAATAAGGATGGTGTCCACTGATAACTGCCAAACCCCATGTTAGCCTTGGCCTCCTTCCTATGCAATCATCAAAGCAACAGCAAGAAAAGAAAAATGAAAAAAAATGAAAAACTATAAATGAGAAAAAATTAAAAGGTAGTTAGTTGCAGGTAGGCGATAGAAGCAAAGAAATAAAAGTGAATTGATAAAGTTATAAATACCCATTGTGTTCTCTTTATGTGTAGAACCTTAGTTAGTCCTTCTCACACATTATACTTTTCTCAAGATTGCTGTATGGTAGGAATAATTCACTCTTATTAACTGGCCCAGGAATTGGGCAGCAAGAGGGTGAGTAATTTGTTAGAAGTCACACAGCTAGTATGTAGCTCCTATGCCTATTCCACCCAAGGTCCAATTCTGGTCCTTTCATTAACAAAAAACCTCAGGACTCTCCATAGTAATGGTTGAATATGCTCTATTCCTGAATGCTTCTTGTTTCCAACCTCTGAATTCCATTTTGATTCCAAGATAGTAACATTAATTTCAGCATTTTTTTTTATAAACAATACATTCTTGTTGAAATAAAATCAAACCACATATATATATATAAATTAAAATTGTGAAGGTTTTTTCCACCTTCAATATCATGCCTAAGACAGTGTCATTGTTAACAATTTGTTGTATGTTCTCTAGACTTCTTTTCTTGCATTTTCAATCACATACACCCCCCTCACCATATAAACAGTTAGGGATTTTGTTTTCTTTTTATTTTATAAAAATAAAATCATACTAAGAGTGTCTGCTACTTGCTTTTAAACTTAGTATATCTCTTATATGTTCTCTTGTAAATATGTACAGACTTTCCTATTTCTTAATAACTGCATAGTATTCCATCCAATGTATATGTTCTAATTTAATTATAGTATCATCAATTGATAAGCATTTAGATTGAATACAGTTTTTCACCATTATGTACAATGTTGCAGTATCCAATTTTGTATTTAGACCTACCTTTCCATGCTAATGCTAGTATTTCAGTAGGACATAGTCCCAAAAAGTAGACTTACTGAAAGGAACCTTCTAGACTTTTATAGATACTACCAAGCTTCCTCTAAAATGAATGTACCAATTAATAAGTTACTTACTGTATATAAAGAACAATTGTTCCACAAGTAAATTTTTAATTCAGCTTTTAAGAAATTAGAAAAAAAAATTCAAATAATAGAAATGTGTATATTGTCCAAAATTAATTAAGTGACTTTTCTATAATTTCCTACAAGTTTGCCTACGGAAGATTTTTTTCCCCAAGTAATTGATTATTGTGCTCAGGTCAAACAATTATAAGACATTTTCAGGCTGGGGGCAAGTGTAATGAAAGGGAGTCATAAATATTTATAACTGATTTGTAAGAGTAGGAATAAGAAAAATAGCAAATATAAGATTATTTATTATGTGGTATAATCACAAAAAAAGACAATCTATGATGGCAGCTAATAACTAAGGTTCTGAAGTCATATCAGCTCAATCACTCATTCAACAAATATTTATTGAGCATCTACTGAGCATCAGGCTCTGTTCTAGGTGTTGGGATACATGGGGGAGCAAGACAAATGAGGACTCCTGCTTTCATGTTTACATTAGAGTCATCAAGATAAAAATAAATTAACCAACAGAACCACTTGAAAATGTGATAACCAAATATAGTATTGTAAGAGATTACTGGGGAGGAGAGGTGGGGTTCCTTTAGACCTGCTGGCCAGGCAAGGCTTCTCAGAAGATGTGGCATGTAAGATGAAACCTAAATGAGGAGAACGAGCCAGCTAGGGGCAGATCTGCAGCAAAGAAAGAGCAAAGGTCCTAATGTGGAAACAAGCTCAGTCTGTTCAGGGAATGGAAAGAAGACCACTTGAGCTAGACTGTGCCACATGATGTTGCAGGAGAGGACTGGCTGGGGCACTAGGATGGGGCGTTTAGGCCTTTGGGAAACACTGGCTTTCCAGTCTAAGTGATGAAATTGTTTTAAGCATGAGAGTGGAATATCGGCTTTAACTTTAAAAGATTATTGTAGCCAATATACTGCTTGCAACTTGTTAACTGTGTGTGCTTGGACAAGCCGCTTTATCATTGTCAGTTTTGATTTCTTCATTTGTAAAGTCGAGGTAATAACAGTATCTATTACAGGAAGTTCATATGAGGATTAAGTGAAGCAATGCATGGAAAGTATTTTGCACACTGCCTGGTGCATAATAATTGTTCAATAAATGTTTTCAACTAAATCTCTGTTACAGTATTAGCATAATATTTAACAGAACTGAGCTTAATTCACTATCCCCAATTATGCAAAATAATAACTAAAAATACTTTTTAATTAGTCTTGATTCCAAATTCTCTACTGTTGAAAGGCTGGGTATTTCCATACTGAATCAACACTTGGCATTTTTCTCTTACCTAACCCTATAATACATCCCTGGGCTATTTATGTGCATGTGTATACCTCTACTCACACACACACTAGATTACTTATCTTTGTGTTACCCCAGGTTCCACAGTACTCAATGCATTGAATATAAGATAAGCAAGTCTTTAGGTAGGTGGGTGGGTAGGTGGAGGAATGGACTAACAGACATATGGAGGGTAAAAATCATGAGAGCAAGAGAAAAGAAGGCAGTGTTTCAAATTAAAGTATTTAAAAGAATAAGGTTTTTAAGTTACGAGTATATAAAATGCATAACATCATTTTTTGGCATGTTTATTACTTTATTCATGCATTTACATAGTACCGGATGCCATGCTGAAAGCATAACAGAAGACACAGCCCTACGGTAAGTATTTACTACCTTCTAATCTTGCCTCATCTCTACTAAGAATCTTCAGCAACACTCTGAGAAACATGAAAGAGCTACTTATTTACCAAGATTGTGAAGAATTATGAGTGCTAGAAACAAAATTGTGAAACCTGCAGTGCTTAACCTTTGGTTTTCTTTGCTTAACCTTTGCTTTCCTCACACACTCTGATCTATTTGTGATTGTAATATATAACATCAAGATTTTAATAGTTTATATGCAGAATTCCAATTTCTAGGCTTTGAAACAAAGATTCACAATAGTTGTGGAATCATTTGTTTACTGATCTGCATATAATATGCAAATTGTTTCTTCACACTTAAAAGTGTGTAATGGAGGAAAAGTGACCCTATATCCAAATATAGAGGACCACAGAAACTTGAGAAGTTACTGATTTAATTAAATAAAATTAGTAAAATAGCAATATAGAACAAGAAAATAATGTCCTTTATTGGAGGTTGTCCTATGCTATACAAAGGAACTTTATATACATTATCTTATTTTGATCTTCACAAAAACTCAAATATGGAAGATTTTATGTCCTGCACCTTATGGACATAAAACTGATACACTGTTATACAATTTGCCCCAAGTTTCCAAATCAGTCAGTGACAAAACTGGAACTCTAGCCTAGGCATTCTCAGTGTTATTTTCTGCCACCCCAAACTAATTAAAAATGCCACAAATAGTGAAATTTATTAAAACTTAAAGTGTTTATATTTAGGAAGAGACAGAGGAACCAACTATGTATAAAACAAGTTGCAAGTAGTGTTATTAAAATTCCTTTTGGAATATTATAAATCCTTTTAAGAAGGGCAATATTTTCTTTATGTAAGCATGATTCTTCTCTGATCATTAAAATACTGTATACTGCCTAGCTCCAGATGATAATAATAGTGATAAAGCCTTTATCTCTTGAAAACTTATATACCAGACTCTGTTCTAAATACTTCACATTCATCAACTTTCATTCATGTAACAATTTTATGGGGTAGGTATTACTATCATCATCATCATCATTGCCGTCATTATATAGATGAAAAAAGAAGAAGCATAAAGAGGTTAAGCAACTTATCCTTGACCATTTGGCTAGTAAATTGGAAAGCCAGGATTTACACGCAGGTAGATTTGGTCTAGTGACTCTTAGCTGCAACATTATGCTGCCTCTTTAAAGAAAGGCCTCTTCTGGTGAGGTGCAGTGGCTCACGCCTGTAATCCTAGCACTTTGGGAGGCCGAGGCGGACGGATCACGAGGTCAGGAGATCAGGAGATCGAGACCATCCCGGCTAACACGGTGAAACCCCGTCTCTACTAAAAAATACAAAAAATTAGCCGGGCGTGGTGGTGGGTGCCTGTAGTCTCAGCTACGCGGGAGGCTGAGGCAGGAGAATGGTGTGAACCTGGGAGGTGGAGCTTGCAGTGAGCCAAGATCATGCCATTGCACTCCAGCCTGGGCAACAGAACGAGACTCTGTCTCACAAAAAAAAAAAAGAAAGAAAGAAAGGCCTCTTCTGTAACCTATCTCAGTGTCTCCCCTATTAGATTCAACCAATGATGAAAGAAGAATCACTAACGTGGGTTAAAGATTTAAACCCCTTCCATGCGTATCTAAGCAATACCAATCTGGTCACCCAGTGACCTACACTTCATCTTCAAAGTGCTGAGGAACCATATGCAAAGTGTCTAGCAAAGAACCTGGCACAATGTTTGCAGCTATCAATGACTGAGAGTTTCTACAAGCCTGGCATGATGCTAAGTGTTTTTCTATATATAGGAATGCCATAAATGTTAAAATGGTTCTTTTTTTTCTGGATTGGCTAGATACAAGGCTGTTTCTTTGGAAATTAAGCTGGGCAATGGAGAAAATTTATTTTCATAAAGGCGAGAACTGTTAAATCACTGAGCATAGAAAGCTGCCATACACGGGTTGTGGACTACCATGGCTCTGGCTCCTGATGAGATTCATTCTCATCCACACAAGAAAGTAAGGAGGGCCATTATCCTCAGCAAACTAACACAGGAACAGAAAACCCAACACTGCATGTTCTTGTAAGTGGAAGCTGAACAATGAGAACACATGAACACAGGGAGGGGAACAACGCACACTGGGGCCTGTGAGGGGTGCAGGGGAGAAAGAGCATCAGGATAGATAGCTAATGCATGTGATGGGTTGATAGATGCAGCAAACTACCACGGCACACGTTTACCTATGTAACAAACCTGCATGCCCTGCACATGTATCCCAGAACTTAAAATTAAAATTAAATTAAATTTAAAAAGAAGAAAGAAAGGAGAAGTATCAATGGGAAGACAAGATCCTAGGCTGCACTCAGCATCTGCAGGGAGATTTTCCTCTCTAGGAAAAGGAAAACTAAAAGCACAAAGATTAAAATCTTATACGGATAATTTTCTAAATCAATTAAGTGAATTATAAATAAGTTCTCTCCCCCAGTTCCTTTAGATATTATGATTTCTTGACCTTTTCAAGGGAAAACTTAATTTACAAAAAACTGTTTTTACAGTTAACTTTTCAGAAATTCACATATCATGCAAAACAAAGTACACCAGCTTCCCTTGCTGAAACTACAGTTCAGAAAAATTTTATTTCAAAATAACAGGAAACCACTCATTCATTCATTCAACAAGAATTTATTGACCAAAAACTGGCTTACATACTCTGTTAAATAAAGTAGACATAAAAATGAAGAATAAAAGCTCCCTCCCACTATGGATCCCATTCTTTAAAACATGTCAGTGAGGTGGGGTGTGGTGGCTCACACCTATAATCCCAGAACTTTGGGAGGTCAAGGCAGGCAGATCTCTTGAGGTCAGGAGTTCAAGATCAACCTGGCCAATACAGTGAAACCCCCGTCTCTACTAAAAAAATACAAAAATTGGCCAGGTGTGGTGGCATGTGCCTATAATCCCAGCTACTCGGGAGGCTGAAGCATGAGAATTGCTTGAACCTGGGAGGTGGGGGCTGCAGTGAGCCAAGATAGCACCACTGCACTCCAGCCTGGGCAACAGAGAGAGACTCTGTCTCAAAAAATAAAAATAACATAAAATATATCAATGACTATTTCTAACTTGTCATTGACACTGTTTGAATGACACAGAAATGGTCATATGAAATACTGTGACATTGGTCTGAAAAAGACACCTTTTAAAAAACACTAAGGAGATTAAATAGATAGGTAGATAGATATAGAGATATATTGGTATACATATTGATATATACTAAGTTCCCTTATAAAGGTGAATATATTCAGCATTAATGGACCTCAGAGAAAGACCAGAAATCCAGGATGTCTACTGAATCTAGGAAATTATCCAAAAGGATCCATATCTTTCTCCCCCTCAATGTTCTTCAAATTCCTGGTTGATTAATATATTATATCTAAACAAGAAAAATGTAGAACTACTTACAGTAACAGAGAGGCCGGGGAAGGTAGGAAGTGGTGAATATACAACTAAGACAGGGATCTAGATTTCACTGCACATTCCACAGCCACTATAAATGATATTGATTTTCAGATTAACTGCTCTTTTATATTACTCATACCTCCTTTCCCTTCTATTAGAGAACTGAATTGTCTGTGCATCTGCTTGATTCCACTGAGAGGCCTGAATCACCACTTGGAAATATCAATCATGCCTTTAAAATTCATCTCTACTAAAAGCCTGCAGTGAAATGATAATGCACTAACCTGTCTCCAGTTAATGGCAAAATAATAGTTGCTTGAGAAGAAAACACAATGAAAGATAATCTCATTTCAGGGCTGCAAAATAAGAAAAGAGGCAGTTAAAACATTTTTAAAAAGAAATATTGATACGATACAGATGTATAGTTAGGGAGGTTCATTTAAAATTGGTCTCACTGAATGGTCCAGGCTTCTTTTAAATGACATTCCCTAAGTAAATAGACGAACTCTGCTTAACATTGTTGCATAAGTCATTTTGGATTTAGTCAACGCTTCCCAGCACTCACATACTCCTCCATGACCCATAAGGACTTGCATTTAGAGAGAGACTAACTGGAAAGATAAATTCTAAGCTGATGTAAAATTCTTTCGTAGAAAATTCCTCTTCCCTTGGTTTTCTACAACATTTCCTTTAAAGGTGGCCAGGCCCTTCAAAGTGATTATGGTTATCAACACTTATGGGTGGAGAGTACCCAGTTTGACTTAATGACCATAACTATGATATGAGTCTATAAAAAAGTCATCCTGAAGTAAGACTACTTAAAGAGTCATGGAAAATGTGAAAGAAACAATAAATCACTTTCTGCTTAGGCATTTTTTATTTTCTAAGTCTCAAACATGCTATTTTCCATTGGCAACAAGTGCCCCAGTCAGCTATATCTTTCAAGTTTTAGGCATGTCTCTCACAGAACGGTTCTTGCTTCTCGGACACTCTCTGCAACTACTACTAAGATTCAAAACTGAAGATATGAAACTAGAATCTATAAACTGAAAATCAGAATCCTCTCAAAGGCTTATACATATTTTAAAAGTCAGTCTCTTCATTAGTCACCCCTTATTCACTTCCTACAATGTATTGTTAGTAATTGAGCAACTAGGCTTGAGCCAGACAACTGTGTATTATAGAATTCCAACTTAAAAACCAGATCAATGAGTTAAGATAAGAGCTTGCTTCTTTAAAATGTTGTAGTGATGTGATTCATTGCTTTTGATCAAAATCTACATGACACCCTTTTCACATTGAAGGATTAAATTAGAAAATTTATAAACAACTGTCTGTTCTGCCTTTGACATTTAGGGACATAGGATCTTGTTTGTTTTTCTTTCCTAGACAGTTTTACCTCAGACCCTGTCCAGAAATGAGTGTTAAACTTGGCTTCTTAAGCAAGGGACTGATGATTGAACATGGACAGGCATACATTTTTATAGGGATAACTTTACTGCTGCCAATAACTGAAAGCAAGGATTGCCTAGGCCTCTACAGATTGTTTGAAGTTACTTGCAACATGACTTTCAAAATGTTTTGATCATCCAAGCCTGTTTTACAGAAAACATTTGGGCTAACAAGACTGAAAGAAGCAATATTTAATGATACAGTTCCTATTCATGTCCTTTCCATTATCTTGATAAACTTGTGTTTGCTCATTGCATTTTTTCTTTAAAAAAAAAAGAAGGAAAAAAAAAGCCTCAAAAGCCTAGTGTCCTGAGGTTATTTTTAAATAGGAGATGCCACTAATTCCTAGTTACCTCTAAATAAGAGAGTAAGCTGGATTTCATACCAGTAATGCTTTTTATAGGAGAGGAAACCAGTCTTTCCTGGTGATGCTTATTGCATATATAGAACAGTTAAATTTTAAACCAACCACACACCCACACATTGTGTAAACACAAGTCGTTGCTTTAAACACACACACAAGTGCCTTTTCTGGTAGCGGGTTATTAACACATGTTCATTTGAAGTTTTCCAACACTTTTTGTTTGTTTTAATGAGGGCCTCTATAATGCTAAGAAATGTGTGGAAAGAAAAATATATTATGGATACTATTCGCATAAAATTTATTTTTTTAATGTGATAAATTATGAGAAAGCATAACTGAAATTCAAAACAGATGAAAATTCGGAAAGAAAAAGACATTTGGAATAGTATTTGAAGATGCTTCCCCAGAGTCTGAGCCAAGTTTCTGGGATCCAGATGAAATAAGCCCTCAAGGACTGAAGGGCTGTCCTAATAACAGCATGTGTGCAATACGACCTTGAGGCACTTAAAAGTAACATTTCAGGAAAAGTTTTTCCTATAAAAGGTTTCAGAAAAGGGAAATTCTACACTTTGCTCTACTTCTCCACTGCCTAGAAAAGTAAAGTAAGAAAGATACCTCACAAATCTCTCCGCAAGTTGCTGTACGAAATTATAAATTTCAATCCAGTTATTTGCCACACTCCCAGACCTGAAAGATGAAATTGAACTGATCAGAGAAACAAAACACGGAACTGAAAAGTAAACATTTTGAAATGGTTCCTTCTTCAATGCCACGAACATAGGGGCACCTGGCCTCTTTTTCAAGCTAAGTAAGGGTATCTGTAGCTGAAACTTTGGTGGTACCCAGAGTTAAAGAAGTCAGTCCCAGAGCAAGACTCCGTCAAAAAAAAAAAGAAGAAGAAGAAGTCAGCCCGTTTTCTGGGGTGGGTAAATACCTGCCTAATTGTTTAGAGTGGAACCCAGCTCTTCAGAGTAAACACAAAAGCCTTTCTTCGCAGGAAATGCAAACCACATTGGGCATGTTAACCCTAGGCTTTTCCTGGCTCCAATGAAAGCGCTATGATTAGGATAAAACCAGGCAAACTTTAGCCTGCGTACGAGCAGGGTCGAGGAGGTGGGTAAGGACTCTGTGGCCGATGGAGCGTGGCCCGCAAGAGGCCACACTCCCATTTCCCAAGAGGCCAAAAGACTGGCAAACAGTGAATACCCCAACTCCCCAAAGAGCCAAGTAGCCCGGGGCTCCAATCACTACCCCCGACCCGGCTGATCTCCGCCCACACAGATCCGAACGCGCTTGCCCTTTGAAAGAAGACAGCAACAGGGCACCCCTCCGCGGGTTTCCAACACCACTCCCCGGGGTGCGCACACGCATCTCAGCCTCAGCCCCAGCTGATCCAGTGCCGCCCTCACCAGGAGACCCTGGACCTCCCTCGCACACTCACTTGTCCAGGACGAAGTAGAGATCAAAGGCTCTTCTGCAGGAGGGCTGCTCCTGGGCGCGCAGCAGCCCCCCGGGACCGCTGAGCACCAACAGCCACAGCCCGGGGAACAGCCAGCTCCCGGGGCTGCGGGCCGGGGACCGCTCCGCCACCATCCTGCGGCCGGGGGCCTGAGACTCCCTCCCGCTCGCAGTCCCCTAAGCTCAGGAGGGTCGCAAAGGTGGCGGGAGTCACCCGGCACGCACTCTGGGGTGGGGGGCGGCGAGCAGCTGAGACGCCGGCGCCTGCGGCAGCGGGACCCACCAGCTGACAGGGAGGGAGAGAGGGAGGTCCTGAGAGGACAAAGGGAGTCTCCGCCACCGCCGCAGCTGCCGCCGGAACTCTTGACGAATCCCAGTGGAAGCGCGATCCAGTCCTCCCCCTCCCGATTCCGGAGAGTTCCTGCAGACAATGCGGGCCCACGGCGACAGCTCGCGAAAGGAGTTCCTCTCCGGCCTGGGGCCGAGCCTCCAGCGCCCGCCTCGGACCCGGACCTGGAACCCACCCCGCCTGGAGGGCTGAAGTCCCCCCCGCTGCCGTGCGCTTCGGGACAAGGGGTCCCTGGGACGCGGCGACGGCAGAACAAACTAGGAGTGGAGACTCTTCTCCTCCGGCGGCCCCAACTCCCTCCGCACTCCGAAACTTTCCTCCCGGTGCTGGACTCTGGCACTGCGCTGACAGGCCGTCCCCTTTAGGGGAGGAGGCTAGCTGGCCCTGGGACTCCCGGCTGGAGAGAAGCCACGCCGAGGGCAGGAGCCCGCTCGGGCCGGGTCTGGGCTGCGTGTGTCAGTGTGCGCCTGGGGACGAGGGCGGGGCCCCAGCTGAAGCCTCCGAGCCACACATGCACACTTGTGGGTTCCTGCCGAGTTGAAGATGACTAACGCTTGCCAGATTTGGGAAAGGGAAGAAGGAGTTTAGAAAAACAAAAGTTATCTAGAAACTAAACATACCCGTATGTCCTGCAGGCCTGGCCTATTTTAGCAGCTGTGCTAAAACAGCCCCCATGCGTGGTTCACAAACCCAAGACTAAGGATTCCATGGGAGGTGACGGCCTCCTCACTCCTCACTCCACCCCACCCCTACTACCACAAACACTCTTTATGAACTTCCTCTTTTTCTTCTAAAGAAACCTGCTTAGTTTTTTTTTTTTTTTTCTTTAAAAAAAGCCAAGCCAAGGAAAGGCCGGAGTGGGGAGTGGGAGGGGATAGCAGGCCTCTTTGGGAGTGGAAAGTTGTACCTCAAAATATTTCAGCCCACTGTCATTTCCCTGCAAGCTCCAGTTTTGGAGAATTTCAGCTTTGGGCAAGCTAGGTCTCCTTTGCAAAACTTGTGCAAGCACTCAAGTTTGTGCACAAATCCTCTGTCTACTAGTTCTGCTCTCCCTCCTCTCTCTTCCCCCCACCTCCGTGACTTCCGCCCTCCCTTAGTCAAAACTGGCTTTTAGAACCTAAATACCTTTTCATTTTTAACAAAATCAATGCTTTATGTAGTACTTACATATACATCTCTTCTGTTTGTTGCCATATGTATTTAACTTTTCATTTATTATATTTGATATACAACCAGATATGTCAGCTCTTTGAAGATAAAAATTAGTTACTTTAACAAAGATTCATTGAGTGCCTATTATTTGCTAGGCACTGTTCCAGAAGTGGAGGTTAGTGCACAGAACAAGATAACAAGCCCTTGCTTTCATGAAGCTGACAGTCTGGCTGAAGAGTGAAAACAGACAATAAGAAATAAATACATAAGCAAGGAAAAAAAATGTCCATATTGGAAAGGTGGCCTGTAGAAATTTAAAATATTGTGATGATAAAGAATGACAGACTCAGTGACTAACAAAAAAGACCCAGTCATTCCAAGAGCTCTAAGGGGAAACATTTGGAGTTACTGCAAAGGTCCATAGACATTAGCTTAGCATATTCAAAAAAGAAAAAAAAAAAACTGTGTAGCTGGAGCTTTGCAGGTAAGATGATGTAAGACAAATAGGCAAGGGCCAGATTATGTGATGCTTTGTTTACTGAGATAAGGAATTCAGATATTTAATATTGAGTGTGACAGGAGGTTATTAGAGGGGTTTAAGCCCAGGAGTGGAGTGGCAGATGAATTGATATGATCTGTGTTTTTCAAAGATCATTCTGGCTGCAATGAGACAATGAATTTGGAGTTAGCAACAGTGACAACAGGGAGAGCAGTTAGGAGACTATTGCAGTAGCAACATGTTGACAAACAATCCTGAGGTTCATAAATTTGGAAAGGAGAACTTCATTTCTTATAAAGGGTTACAGCTGCAGGCTGGACATCTTGACAGGCTGGGAAGTGTAGCCTCTGGCAGAGACAAAAAGCAGGCACTTTGAGGGAGGAAAGGGTGGAACAGGAATTTATGCTAAATGAGTTGGCCAAGTATACATATTCAACAGGTTATAGGAGGAACTATGAATATTTCTGAAGCAAGGGGTACATGAACTATGCATATTTCTGAAGCAGGTGGGTTAAGTTTCCACATCAAAGTGAACATGGGACATATGCAACATGCATGTTTAGTAAGCAAACATGAATAGTAAGCAAACATGCAAGTTGCATATGTCTCATGTTCACTTTGAGGTGGAGACTTAACAATTAAATGTATTATAATTAGGCCCTATATGTCAAAAGGTGAAACAGAAGACATGAAGGCACTCAGTGCCACAGCCTCTGTAAACCAGCCAGAACCAGTCTATGGTCAGTGGTCTCTTATCAGGAGAGTTATTAAAATCAGTCTCTTGTCCAGTCAGAGCTGTAGTTATGGCTTGTGGAACAGGGGTAGGGGTGGAGGATTAATTAGTTAGTGTCTTGCAGTCAGTAAGATGCAATTGTTTCAATATTGCTTATCTGGAGGCCAGTGTTTGTTTAGATGCTAGAGAAAAAGAAAACCCTTTTGGCAGTTAGAATATAGTTTATTTTTTAAGTGTAGGAGTGTGTGACTTGACCTTTGCCTGGCATGGTCTTAGGTCTTGTTTATAATTTGGTGTCTTATGAACACAGAGTACATTCTGTCAGTCTTATCATCTCTATTTTAACAAAGGCAAAATAAAATGGTACCTTGGACCATCATCACTATAGCAACTAACCTGAGAATTATGAATGGATGAAAACTTCAATATATACCGGCAGACCTCCATTTTGAAAATATGCTCATTACAAATGTCAAACATTGAATGGAGGGTGGCTAACATCCCTTCTCACTCTTTGCCAACTGGTCACTTGGGGATGGAAATTCCACCACTATCAACTGCATCAATCTGCCACTTTTTACCTGATGGAGTGAGGAAGATACTGAGGGGCAAGGGGCTAGCTAGATGGAAGATAACTTTTACTTTTGTAAGAAGGAAACATACAGCCTTCATAATTTTCAAATAATTAAGCACTAGAAGCAAGTCCTTAATTAGTCCTGAGACTAATTAAGAAAGTCCTTAAAGCACCTTAATTCTGTCCTCCTTGGCTTCATCTTTTCTTGAGGTTCTAAAATACTGATTACTTCTGCAGCCCTCCAGTCTCCAGGTATGTGTTGCCACTTCTCATTTCACATTTTGGTCCAACCTGAATACATAAATCTCCCTGACTTCCCATAAGAGAACTGAAACAGGCTGACATTTTCAGGAAATTTGTATCAACAGCTTGTTCATCTTTCAAGGTTTTGTATTCATTGCTGGTTGAAACTGGTTTCCATTTTCAACTTTAATCTTAAGACAGAATCAAAGATATTATATGCCACATCAGCATGTTATTGAATAAAATCTGGGGAAAAAATGTATCCCCCCAAAAAAGTGACAATTGGTTTCATGTTAGAAGGAGACAGAAGGCAAAGAAATATGAGACATGATACTAACCATGTACTCTGTCCTCCTAAGGAAGTATTTTAAACTCACATTTGTTGGTTTCCTTTATCCCTAGTCTTGACTAATTACCTGCTCATCTTCTGGGACTTCCCAAACTGGTCTAAGAATCCATCTTGTCCTAGGTTCAAACTAAAGCAAAATACCTCAATTTAAAACTCATTCTTCCTCAAAATTTCCAGGCCTTCTGAGAGTACTCCCACTCAGTTCTTCTTTCTTGAGTACAAGGCTGGCAGAGAATATTGACATACCAGAAAAATAGTAGCACTTTTTTGTTTATCTGTTTGCTTGGGTAAAGAATTCATCCCAGTCCTGGAGCATTTTGCATCTCACTGACTTGCTCATGTAAGATCTACAGCAAAGCAAAAAATGGCCTCAGACCAATAACTAATCAAATCACTTTCATTTAATAAAAATTAATCAGAAGATCATTAATTACTGGGGCAGCCAAGTGTCCTAATTTGTCACAGACTGAGGGGTGTCTTCAGTCTCATGGACATGGGACTTTCCATGCTAAAACTAGGGCAGTCCCTGGGATAGTTCCTGGCAAGCAAAACTGTTGGTCATTCTTTTCCTAAGCAATAATGAGGGAAGATGAAAGCAAAAGCAGACATGAAAATCTCTCCAAGCCATGAAAAAGAAGTGGTAGCAACAGCAGTACTTTCCCTTCTTCATCAGTGAGAGCACTCTGGGAATTGTATCAGCTGGAGAATAGCCAGGTAAGGTTTCAAACTGACTTTTGTACCATGACAGTCATGCTGGGACCCTGCTTAACTTTCAATCTGACATCAAGAATGGGAGGGATAATGCAGATTTTTTAAGAGAGAGAGAGAAAAAGAGACTCTATACTGCATTATGTAGGTAAATAAATCTAAAAAAGTCTCTTTTATCAAATTATTTGTATTTCCACTGAATTATTTGGCTTTACAATCCATGAATGCCCCCACTCTTTGAAAATTATTCTTTGTATTAAATCAAACTTCTTAATAAATAAATAAATCAAACTTATTAATAAAAATGCTAATGAACCCCAAAACATGTTAAATTCATTTTAATGCAGTTAGAATAGCTTGAGATTGACACTTGATGATTTAAAGTCTTCACTAGACCCCCCTCTCATTGTCCTTTTTTTCCTACCTGCAGAGCTCCAATGGACTACACGTTAAATTATATTTAATTACTTATTTACTGGTCTTTTATTATACTTAATGAATGTTTACTGATACCTACTATGTATCAGGTAATGTTTTAAGCACAAATGTTAGACTTTCTATTCTCAAGCAGTTTGCGTTTTCAATCTCCTGTCGTGAATTTATTTCCATCACCCCATACCCCAACAAATAAACTAACAGAAAGGCAAATAAGCAACGACAATAAAAGTATTCTTTATGTGTAAAAAATTATATAATCTATATTATTTGCAAGTAGACATCTTTTGTGGCATACACGACTACAGACGTGACTCTCCCGGAAGTTGAGTACCATACTGAAAATGATTCATATTCATGTCACATGGGAAATGATTCATTATATGATATCTACAGTGATTCAGAGGAAGAAAATAAATCTTCACTACCTATAAGTGATAAAGCTTATTTCAACTTTTATCAGGCATAGTCATTAAAGAACTAGATTTCGTCAATGTCTGAACTAGTTCCTGAGAGTGAATACAATGCCTTTGGAAGGTGCAATTGCCTCTAAATTAATATCTCTATGTATGACAATAGGGGGTGCTAACTAATGTTAGAGAATGATTACTAACATTTGCATTTGGGATCAAATGTGTCTCAAATTGAGTTTCTCAGAAACAGACTTGAGATTCAGAAATTTGCATGCAGGAGATATATTGAGGCATGCAGCAAAACCTCAACGAAGGGATGAGGGAAGCAGGAACTGTCAGAGAGAAACTTGAACCATGATGGAATTCCGAAGGAGGCTTCAGGCAACCACCAAAGGTAACTCTGGAGCTGTGATAGCCTTTCATAGTTGTCCTGAATTGAGTGAGACAAGGGAGCCAGTGTTTGTTACCCCTCATGGATCACTCACTAAATGTGGGCTTCCACTCTACAGGGGAAAGGCATAACCTTAAGCAATGGCAGCTTCTTTTGACTTGGGGCAGTTATGAGGAGGGACTCAGTTGTGAGCTGTCAACAGCAAAATCCTGGCTGTGGGGAAATTAGTGTTTCAGCCCTGAAGGAGGAATCTAGGTGATGCAACTACAGCACCTACAACCACAGCATCTAGAATATCCAAAAAAGGCCAAGACACCTGGCAGCTAGTTTGTTGAAAGTCCTATCTCATGTGCAATGTCAGACCTTCACAAAGCAGCTCAGGCTTGGATTGGCATCCTAGAATGATAAAGTCATGTAACTGCATCACTTCTCTCATGCCTTCTATCTTAGCTCTGGTGCAGGTCAGTTTCTCAATTCTCGAAGGAATTGCTCTAACAGTATTCTATTCTTCCTATACCTTCTCCATATTTCAATATAATTAGTCCCCTGAAGCATAAAACCAATCATATTAATCACCTACCTAGTTACTGCAATGGAATGTGGTTTCCTAACAATGGAAGGCCCTCCACAATAGCATTACAACTTAGCTTTGTATCCTCACCTCAACAAGTCTAGTCCCTTCATATACTTGATGCTCCAGAGAAACCTTGCGAGTCACTGTTCCCCTCCTATGCACAAGTATATCTTTTGGATTTACCTCGTTTTGTACTCACATTTCCCTGATACTGTGTTCTAGGTGTCAAATGCTATCTCCTCTTTCTCTTGCCTTCTATTCTCACTGAACAATTCAGGTCAAAAGCCATTAGGTGGGCCAAGCACTGGGTGCTAGGGTGGTGCAGAGCTACAGTAAAGTAGTCCCAGCAATGTGCCGAAAGCCAAGCAGGGCGAGGAGAGTGTCCCCATGGTGCAGGGAAGGACAGCCTGGCATGGAGCATTGGAGACTGAGAAGGGTGAAGAAAGTGTCTACGTGGGAAGGTGGCCCAGCATGAGGAATAGAGAAATAAGCCAGTGAGCAGATTACCTGGTGGTGGGAAGGAGGTGACGTTTCTGACCCTAATTAAGATCAGGAGGACAACACTTCTTTGAGCTGAGTCGAAGTGGACGCTTTGAGCGTAGCCGCCCCACAGCCGCCGATCCCTGCGTCGCTTCCTGTAGAACCCTGGGCCTGCTTTGCAGCTTTCCTCCCTTTGTCTCACAACCATGTCTACCAACGAGAATGCTAATATACCAGTTGCCCGACTTAACAGATTCAAGAACAAGTGAAAAGACAGTACAGAAATGAGGTGTCGCAGAATAGAAGTCAATGTGAAGCTGAGGAAAGCTAAGAGGAATGACCAGATGCTGAAGAGGAGAAATGCAAGCTCATTTCCTGATGTTGCTGCTTCTCCGCTGGAGAAAAACCGCAAAAACCAGGGCACTGTAAATTGGTCTGTTGATGACATTGTCAAAGGCACAAATAGCAACAATATGGAAAGTCAGCTCCAAGCTACTCAAGCTGCCATGAAACTACTTTCTAGAGAAAAACAGCCCCCCATAGGCAACATAATCTGGGCTGGTTTGATTCCAAAATTTGTGTCCTTCTTGGGCAGAACTGATTGTAGTCCCATTCAGTTTGAATCTGCTTGGGCACTCGCTAACATTGCTTCTGGGACATCAGAATAAACCAAGGCTGTGGTAGATGGAGGTGCCATCCCAGCATTCATTTCTCTGTTAGCATCTCCCCATGCTCACATCAGTGAACAAGCTGTATGGGCTCTAGGAAACATTGCAGGTGATGGTTTAGTTTTCCGAGACTTGGTTATTAAGTATGGTGCAGTTGACCCACTCTTGGCTCTTCTTGCAGTTCCCGATATGTCATCTTTAGTATGTGGTTACTTATGTCATCTTACCTGGACACTTTCAATCCTCTGCTGCTACAAGAATCCTGCACCCCAGTTAGATGCTGTTGAGCAAATTCTTTCTACCTTAGTTTGGCTCCTGCATCATGATGATCCAGAAGTATTAGCAGATAGCTGTTGGGCTATTTCCTACCTTACTGATGGTCCAAATAAACGAACTGACATGTTCTTGAAAATAGGAGTTTTGCCCCAACTTGTGAAGCTTCTAGGAGCTTCTGAATTGCCAACTGTGACTCCTGCACTAAGACCCATAGGGAATATTGTCACTGGTACAGATGAAGAGACTCAGGTTGTGATCGATGCAGGAGCTCTTGCTGTCTTTCCCAACCTGCTCATCAACTCCAAAACTAACTTTCAGAAGGAAGGTACATGGACAATGTCAAACATCACAGCTGACCCTCAGGATGAGATACAGCAAGTTGTGAATCATGGATTAGTCCCGTTCCTCACAATGTTCTCTCTAAGGCAGATTTTAAAGACACAAAAGGAAGCTGTATGGGGCCATGACCAACTATACCAGTGGTGGAACAGTTGAACAGGCTGTATACCTCATTCATTGTGGCCTAATAAAACCATTGATGAATCTCTTAACTTCAAAAGATACCAAGGTTATTCTGGTTATCCTGGATGCCATTTCGAACATCTTTCAGGCTGCTGAGAAACTAGGTGAAACTGAGAAACTTAGTATAATGATTGAAGAATGTGGAGGCTTAGACAAAATTGAGGCTCTACAAAACCATGAAAATGAGTCTGTGTATAAGGCTTTGTTAAGCTTAATTGAGAAGAATTTCTTGGTAGAGGAAGAGGAAGATCAAAATGCTGTGCCAGAAACTAACTCTGAAGGCTGTACCTTCCAAGTTCAGAATGGGACTCCTGGAACGTTTAACTTTTAGATCATGTAGCTGAGGTATGTATTTGTTGTGTACTATATTTGGTATTTTGTCTTACTGTTTCTCTACTAAGAACTCTTTTTAAATGTGGTTGGTTATTGTAGCACTTTTTACACTGAAACTATACTTGAACAGTTCCAACTGTACATACTGTAGGAAGCTTGTCCTCTGAATGGGTTTCTTATTTCTGTGTGGAATTTCTTATCTTGCAGCATCCTATAAATAAACAATAAAGTCCACCCTTTACTTCAAAAAAAAAAAATCAGGAGGACTTCTGCATGGGGGAAAGTTCACTGTGGAGTATTTGGAGCCCAAACATGGACCTCCATGCAGGGGGTCATCCCCACGCAGGGTGTCAGAGGATGGACAGGGAGAGAGAGAGTCAACACTGGAAGGCAGAAGCTGTCTCAGGATGCCAGAGCATGAGAAGAGTGAGTAGGGCTGTTGCAGCAGAGCACAGGGTACAAGAACCCAAGCATTTGAAGAAGAATTCTGGTCAGGGAGAGAGCACAGCTGAGGTATATAAACCCAACCAGGGTAAGGGGGGCTTCAGGAAAGAGAGAAGCTTGTCAAAGGAGTGACTAACAGACTGACACCCAGCATAGTGTGTCATAGCCCAGGCGGGTTGCCTAGGTGGCAACCTAGTGCAGCGTGTCAGAGCTTGAGAGAGAGAAGGAAAGGCTTCGACATGGAGGGAAAAGGTATGTGAAGCCTGAGGCCACAGGTAGAGATTCAAGCAAGATGAGGAGGATGTCCACCCAGGGTAGGAAGAAGCAGCTCGTGACTGGGGCCAGATCCTGAGTGAAAGTGCAAGGTGGTGCTCATGTCAGAACTTAAGCAGAATGAGAGAATCTGTGTTGGAGAGGGCAACAGTGGTGATGAGAAATTGGTTCACTCAGGAAATGCTTTCATTCCTTCAGGCTGCTCTAACAAAATACCATAAACTACATGGCTTGCAAACAACAGAAATTTATTTCTCACAGTTCTGGAAGCTGGGAAGTCCAAGATCAAGATGCGAGCAGATTTGACATCTGATGAGGATCGTCTTCCTGGTTCATGGTCAGCCATCTTGTCACTGTGTCCTCAGATGGCAGAAGGGGCAAAGCAACTCTCTAGGACCTCTTTTAAAAGGACACTAATCCCATTCATGAGGGCTTCACCTGCATGACCTCCCAAAGGCTCCAGCCCAGATACTATGACATTGGGGATTAGGTTTCAACATGTGATTTTGGGGGAAATATAAACTTTCAGACCATAGTGAGGGATTAAGTCAAACTAGTATAGATAATGGGAGTTACCGTCAGAGAAGAAAGCTGTAAATAATGAAATTGAAAAATCTAGAATAAATCCTGTGGTGCTAGCTTGCAATTGGAGATATTAGTGTGAATTCATACATATAATTACAGATATAGATGTGAGTATATGTGCAGATGCAGTAGTCCTTCCCCCTTATCTACAGAAAATATATTTCAAGTCCTGCAGTGGTTGTCTGAACCATGGATAGTACCAAACCTTGTATATACTTGTTTTGCCTGTACATACATACCTATGATAAACTTTAATTCGTAAATCAAGCATAGTAAGAGATTAACAACAACTAATGATAAAATAGAATAATTACAGCAATTTACTGTAATAAAAATAAAACAAGGGTTCCTTGAACACAAGCATTATGATACCTATACTAGGATAGTTGATCTGGTAATCGAGACAGCTACTGAGTGACCATTAGGCAGGTAGTATATACCGGGTGGATATGCTACACAAAGGGATGAGTCACCTCCTGAGAGGGATAGTGCAGGGCAGTGTGTGACTTCATCAGGCTACTCAAAACAGTGTTCAATTTAAAATGTATGAATTGTTATTTCTGGAATTTTCTATTTAATATTTTCAGACTGCAGTTGACTGTGGATAACTGAAACCCCAAAAAGCAAAACCAAAGAGACTGCTATGTGTATATATGTAAAACACAGTATACACAGTATATATATGTGTGTGTGTGTGTGTGTGTGTGTGTGTGTACATGTATATGCAGATATATAGCTCTGTCTACTTAGATAGACTGAGAACAACAGCAGCAATGGGCATACATGATGCTTATTTCTTGGTTTTAAATGTCACTCTCCACTGAAGCGAACTAGGAATTCTTAAAGATATGTTTAAATTCAAAGTGAGTCAGGAATCTATGAACTTAGAATATCTTGTCCCAGAAAGTAAGAGGTATTCAAAGAATGATGGGGCATGACCAAAAGTTGTAGAAGTCAGATTGAAGAGCTCCAATAAGAAAAATCTAGGATAATATTTGCACCAAAATGAAACAGTTCAATTAGAAAATGAACAAAAGATATAAACATATATTTCACCAAAGAGGATATACAGATGACAAATAAACACATAAAGTTATTCAACATTGTTAGCCATTAAGAAAATGCAAATTAAAACCCAAAATAAAAAATAGTGATAACAGCAAATGCTGATGAGAATGTAGAGAAACTGAATATCTCATACATTGCCAGTGGAGATGCAAAATGGTACAGTTGTTCTGGAAAATAGTTTGGCAATTCCTTTAAAAACTAAAAATGGACTCACCATATCACCCAGCAATTGCATTAGTGGACATTATAGAGAAATTAAAACTTAGGTTCACACAAAAACCTGTATATAAATGGTCATAGCAGCTTTATTTATAATATGCTCAAACCAAAAATAACCCAATGTCCTTCAGTGAGTGTCTTAATTTGTGCCACTATAACAAAATACTGACTGGATAATTGATTAAATATATATATTCCTCACAGCTCCAAAGACTGGGAAGTCCAAGATCAAGGTACCAACAGATTTGGAGTCTGGTGAGGGTTCTCTGCTTCAAAGATGGCCCCTCTTGCTGCATCCTCACATGGCAGAAAGCGGGGCAAAAAGGGCTGAACTTGCCCCCTCAAACCTTCTTATAAGGGAACTGATCCCATCCCTGAGGAAAAAGCCCTCAAGACCTAATCACCTCCCAAAGGCCGTGCCTCTTAATACCATCAGTTTAATTTCCAACATATGAATTTTGGAGAGACACGTGCATTCAAACCCTAGCAGTGGGTAAATGATTAAAGTGTGCTACATCCATGCCATAAACTATTCCTCAACAGTGAAAACGAACAAATTATTGACACATGCAACAACTTGGGATCCATCTCAAGGGAAGTATGCTGCATAAAAAGCTAATCTCACAAAGTTATATGCATTATTATTCCATTCATATAGTGTTCTTGAAATAATATTATAGAAATTGAAATTAGATTAGTGGTTGTCAGGGGTTTTGGATTTCGGAGGAGAGGACATAGGGGTGGTTATAAAGGGGTAATTCAAGGGAACCCAGTTTAATGGAACAGTTCTGTGTCTTGATTGCTTTCATGGTTATATGAAGTTACACAAATAATAACATTGCAGATAACTATACACACATGTAAAATTGGTGAAATCTGAATAAGCTTTGTGAATTGTAGTAATGTCACTTTCCTGGTTTTGATTTTGCAGTATATTTATCTAAGATGTTACCACGGGGGAAAACTGGATGAAGGATTCTCAGGGCCTTCCTGTATTTTTTTTTTGTAATTGTCTTTGAATCTCTAATTAATTCTAGATTAAAAGTTTTTAAAAATGAATGGTAATAGAAACAGATTATAATATATTGGGTAAAATAGAAAACCATGAATCCATACAGATGTAAATAAATATATGAATAAATTCAAAGTTTTATATAGAACAGAACATTACATAATTTATCTCCACAAAATACTTATGCATGGCAAAGAGAAAAAAAGTAACTTTACATAGGATAGGCCTCTCAGACATTACCTTAATCACGTTATCAAAATTGACATCACCAAAATTGGTACAAAACTAAGTTATATTCTATTTGATTGGTTGTAATAAGAAGAATACAAGATCACTTTGGTAATATTCCTGCTATAGATGGATGAAAAAGCGTCAGGTATACCCAAACTGAAAGCCATTCTACAAAATAACTGACCTGTATTCTTCAATGTATCAAAGAAAAACTGAACAACTGTTTCGTATTAAAGAAGACCAAGGCGATATGGCAATTACATGTAATATGTGATTTTGGACTGGATAATTTTGCTCTAAAGGACTTTATTGGGACAACTGGAAAAATATTGTGGTTACATGAAAGAATTCCTTTTTTGATGAAATAACACTGAAGTAGTTGGACATGATGGGCCATTATGTCAACAACTCATTCTCAAAAATGGTTCAGGAAAAACTTTTTTTGTACTTTACTTGCAATTTTTCTGTAAATTTAGGATCATTTCAAAATTTATATAGGAAGAGGAGACTAAGGAATAATGACAACAAAACGTAGTATGGTATCCTGAATTTGATTGTGGAACAAAAGAAGTCTATTTTAGGGGAAGTTTGGTGAAATTATAATAAAGTGATTTTGTTAATAGTATTAACTAGTGCCAATACTATTAGAGTAGCATTGTACCAGTGTTAATTTCTTAGTTATAACAAAGGTACTATGGTTATGTCAGATGTTAATGCCAAAAGGAATTCTCTAGTGTATTTACAACCCTTTTACAACTCATACAGGAACTCTCTAGTATATTTACAATCGTTTTAAATCTAAAATTATCCATAAATTAAACACTTATTTAAAAAAATTAATACTGTTCAGGCTTCAAGTTCCATTTCATGTAGTCAAAATACTATTCACCCTCTAGGCTTATTTCATATACCCTCTCCTCCATATAACTATTTCAATTCATCATTACTGCTAGTCAGTTAATTATCCCCATTCCATACCCCCAATTTCAGCCATAAAAGTTTTTGTTTCATTTACATTATAGTATTTTCAGATAGTTATTATCAATCTGTTACTAATTTCTTAAGGATAAGAATTGTGATTTACTAGAAACGTATGATAGAGGTTTTACTAAACATTTGCTGAGCTGTGTTACTGCAGAAGGCTGGAATACTTTTTTGAGTATTTAAATTCTGTCTAAAGATTCTGGAAAGGTGAAAATTCTTTATGAAACCTTACCTAATTGCTTCAGTTCACATTGGTCTTACCTTTATATCTCAATGTATCTTGTAGCTATTCTTCTCATAGGTCCTTGATGTATCTTGACACCACTTGGTTCATAACCCAGTTTTTAAATTCTAGCCATTTTGCTGCTTATCAGTACCCCAGCAGAGGGTGGGATGGATAACAAAGAAAGTAGAAAAGAACTGGTGACTTAAACGGTGGTCATTGTGGATGAATTCATTAATACTGATACAACTCTCCTCTAGGATGACTTTCTACATGTTAGAGAAAGCTTTAAAATGGACGTTTCCTAGACTGCCCTACAGGTAGATTTCATCATCGTTTGGAATCCACCCAAATATACTCATGCCAGATTTTGAATCAGAACCCAATTACATGAGGGTAGAGGCAGGGTATGGAGTGTCTTTTTTGCTGCTTCAGAGGCAGTGCATGGCAGAGCGAGCACCTCCCTTGCCAAGGGTTGGAGTGTGGATTGGGGAGTTGTTCCTGAAATTCAGTCCTCACTCTTCTTCTTCGGCAATCCAAATGAATCTGAGTTATTTATCCTTCTTAATACATTCCTTTCATTTAAATTAGCTAGAATAGATTCTGTTTTTGAAAGACATTGACAGGTCTTAATCTTCTGTAATCTCTAGGAACTTTAAATTAGTCATTTTACTAGCAGTTATAATTACAATAAAAAGTTATTAATGGAAGGGAAGAGATAAGTAACTGATTTTTTAATTATCCATGGTATTCACTTGATATTATTCCTCTCCTTGGTAAACTTGGATACTCTGAGGTGGAGGCAGGGAAGCAAAATTAGATTTAAAAGGAAAAAGAAGGAGGAGGAGGAGGAGGCAGAGATTCAATAAACTTCTGCGAGATTTTTGCAAGACAAGTAAAAATCTTTTCAGCTACCTAAACACAGAACACAGAAGTAGGGATTTTAAATTTAAAAAAATCAAAGAATGAGATTGATTACAGACAGCAAGGGACAGCTCAGAAGGGAGACAAAACAAGTTACAGCTAAGAATGATTAAAATTGCAAAGGATATAAGCAATCTTTCAGTATCCCACTCCAGATTAAACAAATAAATTGCATATTTGTATCTACTGCTAATAGGTTACAATACAGAATAACTTAGAGGAATTTAAATTATAATAGAAACGTTTATTTTATATGTTGTGATCATATAAAACTTGGAAAATAAAAATAGAAACAAAGTCAAATGACAATTTGTAGTTTTTTAAGGTGCTTCTATATAAATTGTCTTTTTGATAAACACATTTTTGTTTTTTAACCCGCTATCTTTTGATGCTGAGTGCATTGAAAATTTACAGTATTCAAAAGAAGTGATAAATGTTTGAGGTGATGGATATCTTAATTACCCTGGTTTGATGATTATATGGTGTATGCTGAACCAAAATATTACCCATACCCCATAAATATATAAAAACATTTTATATCAATTTTAAAAATTAACGGTATTCAATCCTAATTCCTCCTAGCCATCATCTTCTTCAAAAGACACAAACAAATAAAATGACTGAGCTATCCTGGGAATGGTACCTAAATGATGATGGTCTTAGCCAATGCATTCAGCTAAGGGAATTCAAGGTTGGCTATCCTTTTTCCCTTGCCTGAAATCTACCATGGGAGAAGGGTGGCTATCTTAGTCCATTTTAAGTTACTATAAGGGAATATCTGAGGCTGGGTAATTTATAAAGAAAATAGGTGTATTTGGCTCATGGGTATGCAGGCTGGCCAAGAAATATGGCACCAGCATCTACCTAGCTCCTGGTGAGGGCTTTTGTGTTGTGTCAAAACATAGAAGAGAAGGTCAAAGAAGATGTGAACACAGGCAAAGAGCATCCAAACCCGAGAGATGTCCTGGCTTTACAAAAACCCACTCTTACAGAAACAAATCTATTCCCTTGAGAACCAATTCCATCTTGCAAGAGTAATAACTCAGTACCTGGGGAACAGCACTAAGACATTCATGAGGGAATCTACCCGCAAGACCCGAACACCTTCCACTAAGCCCCACCTCCCAACACCACTGGAAATCAGGTTTCCACATGAGATTCGGTGAGGAAAAACAACCCATGTCCAAACCATGGCAACACCCTGCAACTATGTCTTCATCACTTTCAAAAAGAAAAAAAAAATCTCCTTTAGTCTAAGCACTAATTTAAAGACTTTGTAGGCAGCATAAAAGAGAGAAAACTTTTTTTGCTTATTTCTAACTTGTTTATATAACATTTTTAACAGTCACAGTTTGTCTGCTCCAAGATATTTAAGCTTTAGATATTTAACTCCTTTTTTAAGATAAAAAAGTTTGAAATGTAATTTTGCTCTTTGGAGTGACTACCATAAGTACTACAATTAAAAAGATTTTTTATATTTTGGAGGCCTTGTGTTTCTCATGGAAACCACTTGATTAGTGCATATCCAACTTTATTTTAACAGCACATATGGCACATAGATTATCTATCCCAGTTTTCTTGGGAAGTTCTTTGCAAGGAGCAGTAGGAAAGTTGTCAATCCCCAAATGGCCAATGGGTTTCATATGTAGCAAATTTGGCTGGCAAAAATACCAACGCAAGTTCAACAATACTGGACCACAAGTGCCTGAGGATATTTTTTAAAGATTAGTAAATCAGGGGTTTGCTTTTGACCCTGATCTTTATACAGAGTTAACACTTCTTCATCAAACAAAAGTGTCTTTAATTTGAAGAAACTCATTTTTACAAATTTTAAAAATTTATTAATCATTTAATGCCTGCTCTCTGCAAAGCACTGATCTGTGCTTTTTGGAATATGCAAAGTCTAGCAAGTGAGATATCCTAGTTGGATCTTCTAGTTACTGAGCTAAGCTACATTTAAAAATAACCATAATACAAAGACTGAAATGATGTGATGGAATGCAATACGAATTCTGAAGAGGGAGAAACCACTTACACTTGGAGAAATAAGGGTTTATGAAGGACAGGGAATTTAATGTGCATCTTGAAGGATGGGTCATGTTTTTAAGATTATCACAGGTGAAGGGAAGAAAACACCCTAGAAAGAAAAAGCATAACCAGTTTCTAGCTGAGGATGGGAGTTGAAAGGCTGACATCATTACTTGAGATAGGGAAAAAGGCACCCATATTTTTTTAAAAAGGTGCACCCCTTTAATTACCTTCTCACCTCTCTCATAGTATTACCTGTATCAAAGTCTTACTATTGTTTTAATCATGTATTTTATTATGCTTTTTCCTGTATATCGCCATCATACACTTAACAAGCAGCATGACAACATATTACCTTAAAGTTAATGTAAAGACACCTCTTATGTAAACTATACTTGGAGAAACACCAGTCTTCCTATATCCTCCCCCAGCCGCATCCCAGGGAACAGAAGCATAGAGCAGTGAATGTACAGAGTACCTAATGAACACAAAAAGAACCTGAATTTCAGTGGAGCCCTGAGTATGTGAAGGGTGAAATAGAAAATAAAACTGACAGACCTGGGTAAGGCCCAATCTGTAGGAGCCTGTAGGTCAATGCTGCCTGCTATCTGTTTTTGAAAGAAAAAAAAATGTTTATTGGACATAGCCATGCCCATTTGTTCATATACGGTCTGTGACCACTTTTGTGCTACAGTAGCAGAGCTAGATAGTTGAGGCAGAGACCATGTGGCCCACAAGCCTAAAATATTTACTATGTGGCCTTTAATTTTAAAAGTTTACCAAAGTCTACCTTAGCTAAAAACGTTTTAGTGTGCAAACATTTTTGTGTAGACAAAATAGATACAGTAATAAATTTAAATGGCAGAGGGGTTTGAGCAGAGCTGTTCTTTTAGAAGAATCATCAGGTTGCTGTGGCAAGACAAATTAGAGGTGAAAGATGAGGAAGAGCTGAAAGCACTTAAAATTATTTTTTAAACATGTAAAATTTACTATTATTGTATTGCTTTTTATTTTGTGCTCAGTGAAATATGAAAACCTGGAAGGATCCAAAAATTGTACATTTAAAAGCAGAATCACAAGAATGACACTGAGGGTGGGAAGGCAAGGGAATTTCCATGCCTCAGAGAAGTGTGTGTAGTCTGAAGGTCAGCTGTGCCTGGAAAAGCAGCAGAGACTGGGCGGTGGTTGTACATGAGACAGTGGATGGGAAGGTTGAGACAGAAGAGCCCTGGGGGAATCTCACTGTTGGAACAGTGTCCCACAAGGTCATGACAGTAGATAATGAGCCTGCCACTTCTAAACCAAAGTTTTCAATTCAATCCATAGGGTTTACCCACAAGAAAGAAAGAAATTTGATTTTAGTAACAGATGCCAATGTGAACTAGATAAATACTAAAGGAAACATATTACTAAGCTAAAAGGGTCCCATGGAAACTACAGAGGGGGTCATAAAGGACTTGTGGATGAGACTGGAGTCTAATGCAAGACCCCACACCTGACACTGAGAGGACATTTCCTGGAGATGATATGCTGGGAAAATTCCTCAAAAGATGTCTTTCACAAGAAGGGCCCTTGGTTTATGAAGAGTATGACTGGGAGAACAAGATTTACTTTCCAAAAATGCTACTTACAAGCTAGTTTTTTGGGATGTCTCAGTTCCATACAGTACAATATCCGTATTGCTTATGCTGATCATATTCCCATCTCCTCTCTGTCCAAAAGATTTTGCTCTCATGTTAACCACAATTAGACTAAGAAAAGGCTGAAAATGACTATAATAATTATTTTGAAATTATAGTAAACTTTTTGATTGATAATCTAATGAAATAATATAGAGAAATAAAATGCAATGCATGGTCCAACCAACCAGCTGTTGTTTTCGAAATTCTGACCTTGAAAATTTGTATTTTAAAGGTGTTCATTAATGATTTCTCGTTTGTGGTACAAATATTAAATATAAACTCAAGGAGCCAAGTAGACCCAAGCATCAATATGTAGAGTCTATTGCAGATAAATTCAATGTACCTTGAAGTGAGCAGTTTAAAACTCATTGAATTTCTGATCTTTGAATTAATGCCTTTTTTGCTCATACATGATATAGTACGAGAAGAATCATGTGGCAGTCAAAACTATTAGCTAACCAACTTGATATTTTCACCATTCATCATTTCCTTGACACTTCTATCGAAATGGTTTTCCACCCTGAATTAACAGTCAAAACAGAGGACTTCACATAGAATTTTAAACTGCATTCATGTTAGATGGTATCATAACACAATACCAAACTCATGAGATCAAACAAATAATTTATCTTTTCCCTGATGCAGACTTAAGATGTGTATCATCCCTTGTAACTGGTAATATTTTTACACAAGTAACTTGTAGGACATAAAGTACATTGACATTTTTTATACATAACTCTATGCTGGGATTTAAACTGAAAGCTTGTTCCATCGGGAAACAAGGCAAAAATTGTTTTTAAGTCTTCTTGCTGTGGCTTAGTAAGAAATTCAACAGTGTAGACAAAAAAATTAACTGTCTAAACTAAATTTCTGAAGAAATATAATAAAATATTTGCAATCACCCCTGTGCTAAAAGCTGGGAGCTATTCCATTCACAGTTTATGAGGAGGGTGGACCCTGTAATTGTGTCTAATATTTAATATTTAATACTCTTGATCCTAATGATTTGGGCAAAAGCTTTGGAGTTTTTTTTTTTTTGGTATTTTTTCTCTCCCTTTCTGTCACCCTGTCTTTCTAATTTTGCTGACTTGACACCAGATTTATACACATGTATCTCTAAAACATCTGTCTGTGATCACATATATGCAGATTAATCACCTTCCATGGAACAATAGACACTGGTGCCTACTTGAGCGGGAGAGTGGGGATTGAAAAACTACCTATTGGGTACTGTGCTCACTACCTGGGTGATCAAATCATTTGGACACCAAACCCCAGCCTCATACGATCTACCCATGAAATAAACCTGCACACGTACCCACTGAACCTAAAATAAAATATGAAAGATGAAAACAAAAATCACATCCCATGCATTAGCCTTAGGATGTGCTTCAGAAAAAAACTTCTTTGCATCCTCTTCAGATTAAACATTTCTTTAGACATCCCTCAACCTGAAGCTCTGTGGTTGGAGCTTCTATGGAAATGAGGTCATCTGATTCTCAAAATTACTTTCTGAAAAAGGTATAATATCTTCTAGCTGAGAGAACTGAGTCCCAGAGAATCAAATGACTTGTACAAGAGTTAGAACACTGCAAAGCAGGAATTTCAGTGCAAATCTCTTGATGGACGCTGCATGTAGTTTTGTTTGTTTGTTTTTGTTTTGTTTTGTTTTGTTTTGTTTTGTTTTTAGGTCTTCCTTGGCCCTTGCTTTACAGTATCTTCCCAGGCTGGCTGTCACATCACACTGTCAAAGGCACAGCTTCAATCAGGAAGCCCTCTTTACACAGCTCTCTGCTTCTACGATCTACTCCTTTCTGACCTATTCCCACCCCATTCTTTATGATCACCTTTCCATTAAATTATCCAATTTGAATATTTTCCAACTGTTTCCTGCTGGGAACATGATTGGAATAGCCCACCCCTGAACAACAATATTCAACACTCTGCTAATTCCCAATCCTACGTCACATTTCTACCATGCTCCTTCTCACCTCCTCTCTCCCCTGCTTCCACGAAAGTACCTATTCCTTTGTTTCTTGCTCATAAAAAGAAAACAATCTGATGAAAAATACATTCACACTAATATATGCATGATGTAAATATTTAAGGTATTACCTTTCCTTCCATGCCATCTCTAAACTTACCAACAGTATCTGCATGTATGCTCTCATCACAAATGATATCTAATGGCAGAATGCCAGATACCTGTTGAAGGTGTCTTAGGGTCAGATATTTTTGCCATGTAGGTTCAAAGGTCTGTAGTTAAGGTGAGGGATTGTTGGCTATGGCTGAATTTCAAAGCTACTTTTATAGCACCTAACTCAGTCTCTCCGTACTTTGAGTCTGTTGGGTGATATAAAAGCATCCAGTAGATACAAATTGAGAAGTAATATGTCAATATTAAACAAGAATAAAAAGGGCATGTTTTGGATGGAAAGCTTCAGGAGGACAGAACTTTCTATGCAGAATTTTTATGTATGATCTCCAAATCTAAGCACATGGGAAATTTGCTAAATTAAAAAATGCAGTAAGATAATAGAGTCAAATATTTTTCAATAAGCATATTATTTATCATTTTATGTAATTATGCTCTTCCTGTGTAATATAAATGATGTCATATGTACATTAATTAGAATCTTAAAAATATAACCTCATAAAAATTTCCTGTGGACTTTTTTTTACTAGACACATTGGAGGATTGAAGACTGAATTGTCTGTACATTATCAAATAATAACCCAAATAAAAATATGCTTCCAGACATGTACAGATGGCTGTTTTATAATCACTGAAACTTAAAAAATGATGAAATATGGTTGGCCTTTAGGTTTCCTGGATGAAGTCTATTACAGGATGATTTAGCATCTGAGGATCCAGAGGATGTATAACAAGTGTTATCACCAAAATAATGTTGGATAAAGTCTTCAGCCGAGCAGAAGTAAGAAAGCAGCCTGGGGCCTTGGGAACCTTCTGTCTGGCCTGTGGCACCGTTATCTGCCACAGTATCTAGTCTGTACAGAAACCTTATTTTAATTTCACTTGGGATCCATATGTTTCTGCCGACCTTTCCTTGCAAAGATGACTTTTTTCCCACATTTAGCTATTTTCTGCTTTCTAAGCATGTGGATAATTTTTTTTTAATTCTTTGGGTTTTGTTGAAGTGACATTTCACTAGCTAAGACAAACAAAGATTCTACCATAAGGGTAGTGATTAAAAGAGTTTGATAGTATCTTAAATGTACACACAATATCATAAAGAATGTCACAGACTGTGTATTCTATATTCTGACACTAGCACCTATGCTCCTAATGCCATATTTGTTTAATCCAATAGATTAATCGTCTTTAGCTTCATTCTTATCAAAATGAAGTCAAGTTCATTTTAGTCAATTATTGGGTGTTTTTTAATGTACTTATGAAAATATTAGAAAACCATATGGACACATTACTCATTTTTAATCCTTGCAGAAATTGAGTTTTTAGAATTTCATTTAAAATGTGTAATGTTTATCAAGAAGGCATGGTTGGAATGTGATTACATATAAGAGAAGGCTTTAACCTCACCAACTGTGTTGAAATATAGCTGGAGAATAAGTGTCAGCAGATGGTCTGCATGAAGTCAAAGGGCACACTTCTGTCAGTGCAGTTTCAGCACCACCCAGGGATAAAAGTGCCTTAACCAGCTGACATGGGTATTCTGGTTGGTTGGCAAATACAGCCTCAGAGCGTGCTGGGGGACATCATGCACCATAATTTAATGAGATTGGCCATTAAGGTCATCCCATAACTGTGCTCTGATTGCATTTCTACTGACCAATTTTAATTTCCCTGGAAACTTTTTTTAACAGGGGAGAGGATGTAAAAACCAGGAGACATCAGTATTTCAGTTTATTTGGCAGTTACACTTCTCACTGAAAATTAATAAAAATTTCTCACATGGAGTTATAAAAATAGTTACTCATAACTAAATTATTGTCTCTGTCTTGCTTCCTTAGCTATGCTAATGTTTAGGCAATTTCTGTAGTTTTCTTTCTTTTTTACCATTCCTCTCCATTTCTTTCTTCTATTTTTTCTCTTTTACTTAGTCCAGGGTAAAACTGAGTCTTCCTCATTTCTTACCTTCTAACAAAGGCAACTGTAAAGAGTTATCTTACCTATTCTACAGAGCAATTATTAAAATCAAGTGAAAGAATATAAGTGAAGTATTTTTATTAAATGTAATACATACAATTCTACAATTAAAACTAGTACCTAACCAAGAATATTGTAAATAATTAATCCTTTGAATTTATTTATATGACTCCTTGTTCCACAGAGGAGTTAAGGCAAGTCAACAAAAGATTATTTCCTAAATGTATCTCTCTCCTTTCTTGCTAGAATTGGCATTGCTTCTCTTAGTCTGTTTAAGACAAATAGAGAATATAAAGGACAAATGTAACTGCCCTTAGAAGCTGTACTGTTCTTACCCCCCTCTTCCATGTATATAGTGTGTGTGTGTGTGCACACGTGTGTGTGTGTGAACTCAGAGTCAAATACTCATTCTTCCCCTTACTCTGAGTTAATTTTTCTTCCCGTCTTTCACAAAGCATTCTCATAATAGTATTAATTAAACTTACTTTAGTACTGTAAGTACTTAAATACATTATTTCACTTAATATAACCCTAAAGGCATCATTTTTTTAGTGCTTTCTGTGTGCTTGATCTTATTTTTCCATTTACCAAGGTAAGAAAACTTAAGCAACATGAACAAAGTTATAAAACTCATAGGTGAAGAAGCTGAACATTGAACCTAAATATGTTTGACTCCATGGTACTATACTGATTTCTTTTATTGTAAAATTTTTATAATGTAACACGTTTATCATTTTTCTATTCCACCTCTAATGTTTGATTAGAGGAAGAAAATGGATAAAGCTATTTTCCAGTATTTTACGAGCATCTTCTATCATCTCTTTATTTCAAATAATATGTAATATCAAATAACATGTTTACTGTGACATTTCCTGATTTTTCACTAAAGACTACATGCTATGAAAGACAGAAATTTAACTCATTCATAACATTTTTCCTCCCCATCTTCCCAGAAGATTTATATTACTAACAATAGCTGCAAGTCTTTTTTTCATAGACTTTATTTGCCCAGAGAACAATTCTACAATCTCCTGCCTTGGGAATATATATTTGCCCCTAAGTGCTCTGGATGTTAAATACAGAAAAGGGTTCTGAGGGTCTCATACTTCAGAATGTAAACTGTCATATTTTCCCCATTTGTATTATTGGAATTGGAATGCCTCCTTATCACACTGTCAACCTATCCTCCTGCTTTCAGCCACACCCTGCTTTCTCACCTTCAGAAACACCTAGTACTTTCCATTCATGAGCATTTCCAGAGCTCAGCAATTTTAATTAGCTTATTGGTAGGTTGTGTTTCAGCTTTCTTAGATCTGAAAAGTCTGTTACCATTCATCCATCTTCTTGGCAGCTTCCCAAATTATCAGTTATTCCCAAAATGTACTGGAATGTTAAGTGAGTAATTGAGAAGTGAGGTCGTATACTTTGAATTAGCAAGCCAGATCAACCAATGAAAACACACTTGCCCACAGCATTCTGGGTGTGTTTGCCCCGTCCAAAGCTATTTAGGGAATGAAAATGTTGGTTGAGAGAGGAAATTGCAGATTATCCCATTTCCATTTGTCTATAATTAAATAACCTTATGCAAAAATCATTTGTAAGAACTATGCTCCCATCACTCTTATTTCACATGGAATCTTAGCTCGTCTTCTTGCAAGCAATTCCTCTCCCTAAATCATATATTCTTCTTGTCAGCATATTCCTCTTGTCAGCATATTCCCAGTACCTGGCATGCTGCCTGACCTGTAATTGGTGTTCAGTAAATGTTTGTGAAATGAATGAGTGCTAAGACCTATCCCTCAGTTAGAGGTTTAGTTCAGTTTAGCAAGAAAGATTTGGGGGTTATTGTCATTGTTGTTTTCAAATGGAGCTATGTTGCATCGATGTTAGCAGTATAATTATAGAGAACAGGAATGAAAACCTCATAAGAAACTTCCCTGTACTTCCTTGTTCACAAGTATCACAAAATATGAATCTTTCTTAAGATATTTTACATGATTTTTACTTTAGATGGTGTCTCAGTCCATTTGGGCTGCCATAACAGAATACTATAGACTAAGTCGCTTATAAACAACACAAATGTGTTTCTTATCATTATGAAGGCTGAGAAGGCCAAGGTCAAGACACCAGCAGATTCAGTGCCTGGTGAGGGCCCACTTCCCGGTTCATAGATGGCTATCATCTCATTGTGTCCTCATACAGTAGGAGGAGTGAGGGAGCTCTCTGGGGTCTTTATTATAATGGCACTAATCCAATCTAATCACCCCCCCCCAAAAGTCCCACCTTTCAAATGCCATCACCTTGGGGGGTTGGGATTTCAACACTGAATTTTAGGTGGACACAACAGTCAGTCTATAGGAGATAGAATCTGGAAATTCAAGACAAGAGGAAAAATATATGTAATGTGTAAATGTTTCACATTTGAATCTTATCCTCAAACTCAGATATTCAAGAATTTCATATTATTTATTTTGTTCTAACTAGTGAATTTCTACTGCAGCAGAAAGTCCCTGGACTAATAAAACAATTTCAGTTAATCCTGTGACTCCCCCATTCCCTTTTCTAATATTTACCTACAATTATAGGGGCTTCCTCAGTGACCAAGTATGTAGATATGTGGAACCAGTGGAGGGAGAAAAAGTAGAAGCTGGTCTTCAGTGTCATCTGTTCAGTTCAGTTGGCCACATGCCAACCAGCATTATTCTGAAAGAAGGGAGGGAGTGGAGGATTAATTTAGGAGAAAGGATAGTGGGAAGGAAAAAAGGAATGCAAAGAAAAACTTGATTAATATCTCAAAAATATTATCTCACCTTTTTAAATTAGAATCCCATATTCCAGTTTTTATTTTATCACATCCCTACCCAAACCTCTTCCTTGTTTTTATTCATCTTTCCACAAGCTCTCTGCACCCCATTTCCACTTTCCCCAGGGTCTGATTTCGCTGGCTGAGGCTGTTTGTTTCTGTCTCACAGTTGTCCTGCTGCCAATAGGGTGGGATGACCAGGCTGGGCCAAGCTATCCGGATAATGTCATTCCTGGCAGGAAGAGAGATTTGCAACAGTAACACACATTGCGGCTTCCTCACATTCCGGACACTCCCAGGAATCATGAGGGGCCCACTTATACAAATTTGGCTCTCCAGTTCATTCATCTGGCAGCCAAGACCCATGAACTAAATCTGGTTTCCAGCAACAGCAGTGATAACATCAATATCAAAACTGGTTTGGTGCATTCTACAAATATAAAAATTTGCTTTTTTTTTTGGCTTTGACAAGTACTCCTGCAAGCAGTGTTTCTGGAAACCACCTCCAATCATTATTTTTACTGAGAAATTAACTTTTTATGAATCATAACAATAATGACAACTGACATACAGTAAGCACTTTTCTAGGCTTTGGCTAAATATTTTACACACCCTCTTTCTCTAAATTCTCATTACAATATCATCTCCATTTTACCAATAAAGAAATAGGATTTGGCTGGGCGTGGTGGCTCATGCCTGTAATCCCAGCACTTCGGGAGGCCAAGGCGGGTGGATCACCTGAAGCTGGGAGTTCGAGACCAGCCTCACCAACATGGAGAAACATCATCTCTACTAAAAATACAAAATTAGCCAGGCGTGGTGGCGCATGCCTGTAATCCCAGCTACTCGGGAGGCTGAGGCAGGAGAATCACTTGAACCTGGGAGGTGGAGGTTGCGGTGAGTGGAGATCATGCCACTGCTCTCCAGCCTGGGCAACAACAGCAAAACTCCATCTCAAAAAAGAAGAAAGAAAGAAAGAAAGAAAGAGAGAGAGAGCGAGAGAGGGAAGGAAGGAAGGAAGGAAGGAAGGAAAGAAAGAAAGAAAGAGGAAGGAAGTAAGGAAGGAAGGAAGAGGATTATAGAGAATAGTTTAGCCACTTGCTTAAGGTCACATGACCTGCAAATATTGAGTCAAGAATTAGTCCAGAATTATGACAGACCTGGAACTCATATATAGATGAGGTAAAGGTGTACAGGTGTCTTTTTGATATAATGACTTCTTTTCCTTTGGATAGCTACCCAGCAGTGGGATTGCTGGATGGAATGGTAGATCTATTTTTAATTCTTTGAGAACTCTCCATACTGTTTTTCACATAGGTCATACAAATTTATATTCTCACCAGCAGTGTATAAGCATTTCCTTTTCACCACATTTGTGCCAAAATCTTTTTTTTTTTCAGCTTCTTAATAATGACTATTCTTGGCCAGGAGCAATGCTTTAATCCCAGCACTTTGGGAGATCGAGGTGGGTGGACTGCATGAGTCCAAGAGTTCAAGACCAGCCTGGGCAACATGGTGAAACCCCAGCTCTACTGTAGTCCCAGCTACTCGGGGGGGCTGATGCGGGAGGACCTCTTGAGCTCAGGAGGCGGAGGTTGCAGTGAGTCAGGATCACACCATTGCACTCCAGCCTGGGTGACAGAGCAGAACCCTGTCTCAAAAAAAAAAAAAAGGCCATTGTGGTTGGGGTAAGGTGGCATCTTATTGCGGTTTTAATTTGCATTTACCTGATGATTAGTGATGTTGAGCATTTTTTTTACGTTTGTTGGTCGTTTGTATATCTTCTTTATATATATATATATATATATATATATATATATATATATATATTTTACTATACTTTAAGTTATAGGGTACATGTGCACAATGTGCAGGTTTGTTCCATATGTATACATGTGCCATGTTTGTGTGCTGCACCCATTAACTCATCATTTACATTAGGTATACTGTTGGTGGGACTGTAAACTAGTTCAACTATTGTGTATGTCTTCTTTTGAGAAGTGTCTATTCATGTAATTTGTCCACTTTTTGAGGGGATTACTTGTTTTTTTTCTTCCTGATTGGCTTGAGTTCCTCATAGATTCTGGATATTAGTCTTCTTTTGTATGCATAGTTTGCAAAGTTTTCTCCCATTCTGTGGGTTATCTGTTTACTCTAATGATTATTTCTTTTGCTGTGCAGAAGCGTTTTAGTTTAAGTAGGTCTCATTTGTTTATTTTTGTTTTTGTTGCATTTGCTTTGGGGTCTTAGTCATAAATTCTTTGCCTAGGCCAATGTTCAAAATAATTTTCCTTGGTTTTCTCCTAAAGTTTTTATGGTTTCAGGTCTTAGATTTAAGTCTTTAATGCCTCTTTAGTTGATTTTGTATATGCAGACCTGAACTCTTAACCACATCATATTGGCCAACTGAATTGATACAGAATTTGTAAAATAATCTGTAACCTAAAAGATAATACCAGCAAAATCAATGTACTATGAAAAAGAGAAAATTAGATTTGTATCAGTTGTTCTGGTTTAAAAAAATGTTTATTTCTCAATTAAAATACTAGCATAGATTTGTAAATAACACCAAAATATATCCTAAAGATTTATACTACCACAATGATGAAACTAGTAACCAGAAAACCAAAAACAAAACAAAATAAACAAAAAAAAACCTATTCCAATTATATTTCCACCTTTACTCCTTTTTATAATTTTCTTCTCTTGGTACTTGGGGAAAATACTATGGATATGTTCTTACTGTCAGTTAAATTTTAAAAATAATAAAATAACCGTTCAATGTGCATTTTTTTATCCTCACGCTATGAAAAGAAAGCCTGAGGTAGCTGAACCACCACTAAGCCAGGAATTAGAAACTACATTTAGTGAAAACTCAACCACTAACTGACTATGAAAACTTAGTAGACACATTGCTTAATCTGTCATAACTAAAAAAACATTCTGCAAAATAAGAGGGCTGGACTGAACAAGTTTGCAGGTTCCTTCCAGCCTGAAAATTCTATTAGTTCAATTATGTGGCTCAAATTACCAACATCCCTTTTCTGAACTAACAGGCACAGAGGGAGTTCTTAAAGAAGAAAAACATACCAGGAAATTAAAAATAATTAAGACTATCATTAGAGATTAAGTCCAAAGTTCTACATTTCTAAAAGATAAGTAATTCTACTCTCTCAACTGTTGATGTCCTATAAATTCAGTTGAAATGACCCAATAATAGAATTTTTATATAATCAGGGGACATTTATCTTAAGTATCCCTCCACCTCCTTTATAGTACTGTCTTATTTATTCTCATATTGAACATAATTTACTCCAAAAGTTTTCTCTGACATCCTCTGGAAAAAGATAAATAAATGTATCCCTTATGCACCCTAATACTCTGTGCATTTCCTGATACAGATTTTTAATGATTTATTGTAGTATGAATTGACTCTTCTTCCAATAATATCATAAACTCCATCTGAGAATCTCTCTTTTTCTCACCAACATTTACAACAGTTCCTGGCACACGGTAATTGTTCAATAAATGTTGACTAAACTTTTCCGTAGTGTAATTTCCTTATTTTACAGTTGAGAAACTGGGGCTCCGGGACATGAATGCTAAATTCCCAGTAAAGAGCTCTTTCCAACACACACCACTGCCTCTGAAACTTTGAAGTATGTATTATATATTTTCAGAGTAAGTTTAAGTAGAAATAAGCATGATAATAATCATAAGATGCAAATATAAGACATATGTGGAGTTTAAAAATCTTGCTCTAAAAAAATACAAGCAGAAAAGTTTTTGAATTGCTAGCTGTGATATATAGATATAATCAAAGAAATTGGTGACAATTACTCAGCTTTTAAATTAGGTCATAACCATAACCGCTTAACATAACATAGATGTTTACCTCCAGGCCATGGCAACAAGATGAGAAAAAACTCAGAATTATTGGACTTAGAAGGAAAGAGGAAGTTGGAAACTTTTAATATCTAGTTAATAGATGGAAAGCAATAATTTGTAAGCACACACACACACACACAACACCACACCACATATACACATATACACAACGCTTTAAAAAATATTCACAGGTATACATGTGCATTATACAAAAATATTCTGCCTAGATAAACTCTATAAAGTTATAAAAGATTAGATGAGTCATCAGTATAGGTCTACTATGAATCAAACACTATACACATGATTTTATTCCTAAATCTGACTCTGACTCATTGAATCATTTTGAGTACTTAAGTTCCCAGAGTCCTCCACAGACAAAGTATAAGAAGACAGTGCCCATTTACTGATATGGAGCCATCATCAGCCCACCTCCAAAACTGAAGGGAGAAGAAACCTGGAGTGGAGGATAAGGAAGATAAGATAGATATTAGGTTGGTACAAAAGAAATCCCGGGTTTTGCCATTACTTTCCATGGCAAAAACCGTGATTACTTTTGCACCAACTTAATGTCAAGAGAAAGAAAACTAAAAGAAAGCAGAAATGGGTCCTCAAACAGAGCCCAATTCCACAGCAGCCACCTGGGGCCCATAAGAAAGTACTATGGGAACAGAAGCCAATGTTTTAAGCACGGCAGAGTAAAAGAGGAAAAAGGGTTATGACTATCACTTGAAAAGATTCTTATGATTCAGTATAGTTTACTATAACAGAAGAATTCATTGAAGAGAAGTGATTTATATTCTAAAATCAAACTATGTAAATCTCACTAAAAAGTTTAAAATAAGCACCTCACACAGATAGCTCATTTATAATCTAGCATTCATATATACTTATAACTAACAACATCTAACTGGTAATTACCAATACTTAGTAATTTGTATATTAATTAAAGTATATTAATTTTTGTTTTTGTTGCATTTGCTTTGGAGTCTTAGTCATAAAGGGAAACTTCTTTCTTATTTCTTTTTAGAATCCTTCCTTTCTTCTTATCTGCAAATCATTGAAAAGTTGTAACTTTCAAAAGCTTTTGGAAGGAGAAGAAACATACCTTTCCTCATGTAGACAATCCAATAATTTGGTTATAAAAATGTATCCCATACTACCCTGAAATTCACAAGTGCCAAGGTCACTAGGAAATGTAACCAAGTGTCTTCATCAAAGGCAAAGGGTTTATATTAAGATGGAAAAATATGACTTCCACATTGGAGATTTCTTATAAATATTTAGAGTATTATGAAATAGTTTATCTGCTTTGATTTAGATGTTATAAATCAACTTACAATAATAAAAATAGGACAATTGTGCATTTGTATGCAGAACAATGCTTGAAAAATAGACAAGATTAATTTTTTTTAAAAGGCAGAGTCTCACTATATTGTCCAACCTGGTTTCCAACTCCTGGCCTCAAGCAATCCTCTCTGCTCAACCTCCTGAGTAGCTGAGATTACAGGCATGTGCCACCATGCCCAGCTATAGATGCTAGATTTTTTAAATTGCATTTTTTAAAGTATAAAATATGTATCACTTTAAAATATGCTTTAGTTTCAGCAAGGTAAAATAAACCGTCAAAACTTGAGAGATCCTTTAGATCGCTTTATAAAAAGAAAACTAGCAGAATTATTATGTGACTAAAAGGCCGGGCGCGGTGGCTCACGCCTGTAATCCCAGCACTTTGGGAGGCCGAGGCGGGCGGATCACGAGGTCAGGAGATCGAGACCATCCCGGCTAAAACGGTGAAACCCCGTCTCTACTAAAAATACAAAAAATTAGCCGGGCGTAGTGGCGGGCGCCTGTAGTCCCAGCTACTTGGGAGGCTGAGGCAGGAGAATGGCGTGAACCCGGGAGGCGGAGCTTGCAGTGAGCCGAGATCCCGCCACTGCACTCCAGCCTGGGCGACAGAGAGAGACTCCGTCTCAAAAAAAAAAAAAAAAAAAAAAAAGTGATCACTCCTTCACCAGGAGTAGGGATGGGAAGAAATAATAACCCAAGGGAGAAAGAGTGATAAAAAACAACTGCTTATAGTGGTGTTTGGAGAAAATTATGTAAATATTTATGCAAAGACAGCTTTGCAGAACACATCGAGCTGCATTAGAACTGCTTGTGCCAGTGTGCACAGGCAGCCTCACAGTTGGATCAACAGCCTGAAAAGCAGATGTGCCAATTTCCTGTATTTGATTATGATGATTCCTAATTATGCCAAAGCTGTGGCAATGTCCTTCCCTAGAATGACTCTTAATTTTGTTTTGCTAAACCACACACACAACCTGTTTTGGATGTGTAATTCATTGTCACGTTAAGTCTATGAAATACTCATTTGTTTGCTTAATAGTTCTGAGGACAATAATTCACAGGGATGCTGTTTTTTTTTTTAATTTTGTATTCTCAAGCACACTGTGGAAAAAAGAAAGAAAATATGCATAGTGATATAGCCATGCTGTTCAAAATCAGTGAGGCATAGACTTTCCCACCACTGTCTACAAATTAAGGGAATACTGTTTTATGGTTGTTCTTCAAAGGCCAGTTTTCTCATTTCACTTGTTTACATTTACAATGTCATTATCAACGACAAAAAGAAAACCTCAGCATTGGCTGGGCATGGTGGCTCACGCCTGTAATCCCAGCACTTTGGGAGGCCAAGGCAGGTGGATCACCTGAGGTCAGGAGTTCGAGACCAGCCTCAACATGGAGAAACCCCATCTCTACTAAAAATACAAAATTAGCCGGGCGTGGTGGTGCATGCCTGTAATCCCAGCTACTCGGAAGGGTGAGGCAGGGGAATTGCTTGAACCTGGGAGGCGGAGGTTGCGGTGAGCCAAGATTGTGCCATTGCACTCCAGCCTGGGCAACAAGAGTGAAACTCGGTCTAAAAAAAAAAAAAAGAAAAAGAAAAAAAGAAAACCTCAGCATGGATTGTAAGTTATAGAAAACTGGTAAGAAACATATCAGATGTCAAAATTAACAAATAGCTTGACAATTTAGGTACTTAGAACTTAATAGTAAGATAGCTGAAGGGGAAAAAAGCAAAACGTGATTAATTAGTAGAGCCATAAAACCTTCCATAAGAACCGTGTATAGTTACAGGAACATTTGCTAACCAAGACTATAACAGATACATTGTTTTGCAGCTCTGATCCCAGAATATTCATATTTGCAAATATTCATATTTGCTTTATAATTTAAAGTATGCTTTTTATTTATAATCCCTTTTTATTCTGTACAACGATCCTATAAGTTCTATATTGTTGATATTTTCATTTATAGATGTAGAAATGAGTTCAAAGAGGTTAAATTACATGTTCAAAGTAAACAGTAGAACAAGGACTTAAGCTTTGACCTGTAAGTAGACCATCAATTATTTATTAAGTACCTATTTATTAACTAGGCTTGATCCATATGAAAGATAGTGACGGGGCAAAGCTTAAGTCTGGCATCCTCCCATTTCAAACTTTTGATGAACTGCAATGTCATGTATCTCCCTTCCAGGGCTCTAGTGCCTTCCTGCTGCTCCATGTATGAGGAAGCAACTTAGGTCCTTCTACCCCAGGGAGTGACCCATGCTTTAGATATTTCTCTGCAGTTTTCTCTCAAATTCCATCTACTTTTCCTATTTATAAGCTTAATCCAGATTTCCTCATTATGGAGAAACTTAGAGAACTGGATTGTGATTTGCACTCAAATGTAAGTTAGGCGAAAAAAAAATTCTTTGTTTTCTTTTATCTTACATTTCCAACAGAACCTCTAATGTGGACCTGGAGATACTGTAGGCTTAGCACATTTCTGTTAAATAAATGTACTTGTAGTCCATCCTTAAACTCACAAAGCTGGCTACCTGCCTGTCTTATTTTTTATTTTTAAACAAAATACACTTAGAAGAAAGAATGCAATATGCAATATACAAAATTAAGAACTTAATGTAGGAGTTGAGAGTATATAAAAAACCAAAAGAGCCTGAGATGGGCCTAGATAGAGGTAGTTTATCTGAAGAATGTTCTCTAGAAGCAGGAATGAGGGAGTGTGTGGAGGAAAAAAACACCCAACGTAGAGTTTTATAAGCAAGATTGCCATTGTAGGTGATAGGAGCTTGACTCCCTCAAAATATCTTAACAATGTACAGAACATATTCCAGACTGTCCAGTGACAAACAAAAGGTTGGATAATTCATCTGTGAGCTCCAATGATGGAGGGCCACCATCATGGTGTTAATATCCCTACACTTCCAATAGCACAAGCAGGTTTCCAAAATTTTGTAGAAGGCCCTGACAAGGAAAGTAGAAAGACAGGATAGCGGATGCTATTAACACAAGATGAGTCTGAACTTACGTGGAACTAAACATGGGAGCAGCAGCTAAAATTTAAGGTTGGTGGAGAGGATGTGACACAAAGCACCAAAGGCATCTGCTCCAACAACACAAAACAAAATCAAAAGATATTAGTGGTATAATTCTTCTAGTTACTGAAACTAGAAGAAATTTCTAGAATTCTTGGAATTCAGGAAGAATACTATCTTCTGATAACTGAATTGACCAAATATCTCAAGCATTGTTACTTCTCTTTTCAGCTATTCACCAATGTTGAATGGCACCTAAAAATCAGTTCAAACTTATAGACAATCAGTTCAAACTATAAACTTATAGGCTGTAATATGTACCCTGGACCAATTTCCCTACCAGCTTTTAAGAAAACTATGAAGGCTTAGGATAGATTTACATGGTTCAGGTAACTATTATGTACAAAACTATTATATGCAAAATTTCTGGATGCTGCAGAAATGATGACGTGAATAAGTCAAAGTATCTGACATAAGGAAACCTAAACTTGGTTTGCAAAGTAAATCTCTTGCTTTTGTACTAGTAGTACAGTCAATGCATTACACTTGCTAAATAAAAGATGAGGGAATAATCCATAGGAAGCAGATAATGCTATGAACTTGGTTGTAAAACATAGCTTCATAAACAAAATTAAATTTGGAGTAGGTATAGAAGAGTGAAAATAATGAAGATTTGGAAGACAGAGGAGAGCTTTTCAGGCAGGAGAAACCTAAATATTACTGTTGAACAAAAATCTTAAAAATAAAAAATAAGTTTAAAATAAATAAATGAGTAGAAGTGCATCCCTGGAGCATTAGATAAATTTTTCTCACAAAATGAAAATATATTTTGAGGAAAAAGGTAACATAAGATTGGAAAGCTAGATAGGAGTCATATTTAAGAGAATTGTGAATGCCAGCACTGAAATTTAAAGTTTAGACTCTGGACAATAGTCATTGAAGATTTGGGGCAGGTGGTGGAGTGAGAGGAAAAACATTGTTTTCAGAATATTGGAACAGTGTCAGTGATGGCTGAAGGGAAAAAGATCTTTTGTAGTCCAAGTTCAAATGATCCCAAAATCTCCAACTGAATTAAAGGCATAGCAAAATGTCTTTAATTTAAAAAATAAATGTAAATCCTCTCTGGAGAAAAATACTCTTTCTCAGGGCTCAAATTATGTCTACAACATTTCATATACAATGACAGACAAGCAATTTAAATTAATGAGAAAAAGAAGCTACAACCTAATCAAAGCAAAACAAAACAAAAACACATGAAAAAATAAAAAGAGAGCTATGGGATGCCATCAGAAGCTTTAAAAAACTGTTTGATAAGTTAAAGAGAATAAAAATATTTTGACAGAACTAGAATTTATTTTAAACAAAGTAACATTTTAAAAAGAAAAATGCAATAAGCAAAATTGAGAACTCAATGTAGAGTTTACGGAAGATTATATAAGTTGAAGAGAAAACTAATGAGCTAGAAGGTGGATCAGAGGAAAAGATTCAGAGAGAGTATAAAGAGACAAAAGTATTAAAAAAAAAAGAAAGAAAATCATATTAAAATCATAGAAGAGTAACAAATAAACCTAACATATGTATAATTGGAGAACCAAGAAGGAAAGAAGAGAGATAATCAGGAAGATGAACAGAAATGTTGGAAGTCAGAAGAACATAAGATGACTTCAAGTTACTGAAAGAAAATGACTGCCAACTAGGAGTTTGACACTAAGGAAAAGTATCTTCCAGAAACTGAGGAGAAATAAAATTATTTTAAGACATATATAAACAGAGGATGTGTTCATTTCAAACCCATATTGAATTTTAGGAAATTCTAAAGAGTATTCTTTACACCAGGGAAATATGATCACAGATAGAAATTCAGAAATGCAATACAAAAATAACACAAAGTGGCAAATATATGAGTAACTCTCAATAAATATTAACTGTTCAAACAACAATAATAATAATGTCTTCTGAAGTTTAAAATTTACCAAGAATGTAAGTAGATGGCAATATAGCATAAAAACTGTGAGGGAGATAAATGGAATTAAAGTGTTCTAAGATCCTTCTATTATCCAGAAAAAGAAGAGTACTAATTTATACTTATTTGATAATTTAATGATGCACACTAATTTCAAGGTAGTCACCAAAAGATACTAAAACAATGCATGGCTTTTAAGATAAGGCAGCGGGAAAAATAGAAAAATTCGAAAATCCTGAATGAATCCAAAGAAGAAAAGAAAAAAGAAAGACAAAAAGAAAAACTAGACCAGTTGGGATGAATAGAAAACACACAACAATATGGTAGATTTAAACAAAAATATATCAAAATTGAATTAAATGTGGCTAGCTTATGTTCCAATTAAAAGATAAGGATTATTAGCATGGAATTTATAAAACAAAACTCAACTACCCACCTACGAAAATAGATAATGCAAATATAAGCACAGATAAAAATGGGGGAAGGGAGAGCATCAGGATAAATAGCCAATGCATGCAGGGCTTAATGCCTAGGTGATGGGTTGATAGGTGTAGCAAACCACCATGGCACAAGTTTATCTATGTAACAAATCTGCATGTCCTGCACATGTGTCTCGGAACTTAAAATTAAATTGAATTAAAATTTTAAAACAGAAAAAATTGAATGTATAAGAATAAAGTAAAATGAGGTATATATTGCAAACACTAATCAAAAGAAAGCTGATACCCCCATATTAATATCAAACCAAGTAGGTTTTAAGGCAAAAAGCAATATTAGGGCTCAAGAAAACATAATAATAAAAAAAGTTTAATTCACCAGGAAGATATAGCTCTAAACATGATAAGCAAAAATTGAGAGAACTAAAATAAGAAATAAATAAATCTACACTCATAGTGGGATATTACAACATACTTCTCTCCAAAACTAATAGAATATGCAAATAGAACATTAGTAAAGATATGAAAGATTTATCAACATGATTGACAAAATAATCTAATTTTGTCATGTAGTAGATACTGCATGCAGCAATAGCAAACTACATATTCTTTTCAGATGCCCAGAGAACACTGACAAAAAAGGACCATATGCTGGGACATAAATTAACATTGTGTACAAAGTATGTTCTTAGGCCACAATGAAAATAAACTAAAAACCTATAATATTAATTAAAAATGATTACTGGAAAAATGTTTATGTGTTTGAAAATAAATAAACTTCTAAATAGTCAAACGGTTAATGAAGAAATTAAATTTTGAAATTAGAAAATATTTTAAATGCATAATAGTGAAAGTTCTGCTTGTCAAAATTGTGGGATACAGCTAAAGCTAAGTTTATGATCTTAAATGAATATTTTTTAAAACCATAGTTGAAATTCAATGAGATACGCATTCATTTCAAGAGAAGAAAAAGACCAGCCCAAAGAAAATAGAAAAAAAAGAAAATGAAACATAAAATTAATGAAATAGCAAACAAACCCACCATAATGAGGATCAGCCAAAACAAAAGTTGATTCTTTAAAAACAAGGCACAGCACATTGAAAGGGCATGTGAGGAAAGGAAAAAACAGTAACAGTAGTCACAGATTTGGCTAACAGGAAAATTAGAAAATTGAGTATCAATATTTCATCTTTAAATGACCTATAACACTGATAAAATAAAGATTCTTGTCGTTAAATTTTTAATCTTAAAACTTGGTACTCTTGCTTCTGGTCTAAGCTCCTCCAGTCTCTCTCTCTCCATCTCATTACTGTCAGTGGGATGATGTGAAATTCCTCAGTGATGCACACTGCCTTAGCATGGTTTATGAAGCCCTTAATGGTATAGTCCTTATCTATCCAGTATCATTTTCCACTACCCTCTATCCTGCACTTCATATCTCCGAAATAACTACTTGTAGTTTCTCAAACACGTTCATGCTTAATTCTACTTGCAATTTCATGTGACATTAATGGGAAATAAATGATATTCTCATTTAACCAACTTGTATTAATAGCTATCGTTCAAGAAGGTATTAAGTATTCTCATTGTGGTCTTTCCTGATGTCCCGCCTACACCTAAATAAATACACTTTCCTTTGTGTTCCCATATACTCCTTGTTCCCATGTCAACTATAACACATACGCTACCATTTTATAATTACTTAAACTTTGACTTTCTCAAGTATTTGTGAGCAGCCTCAAATTTTAAAACTCCATCTCTAGGACTTTAATAGTTGTGAACACAAATAATTGAAAAAACAGAAACATCTATTGAAAACCTTCTTACAAAAGACAGACAACTATCCTCTATATGATCCCTCATAGAATGACTAATTTTTTAAACTACTACCATGCAAGCTTCAAAAGGTAGGATGTTTTTAAATTAGAGGCCATTACTTTATAATCCATCTGCCAGAACTATTTTTAAAAATTAAGTTAGCCTTTTCTTTCATTATGTGATCTTATGTCCAACATCCACTGTTGATCAAGGCACTTAAATAAGCTTTAACGTAGCAACCAGGTGGTCCTGCTAAGTTCTGAGGCTATAACTCCACAAGGACACAGGGAATTACTCTCAACTTACTTCAAGTCTAGTGTGAAGACATGCCATGATGAGAACCACACTAATTAATAGACCATGTATCTGCAGGACCTATGCACCTTGGGTTTTGGGGGAATAGTCTTGGTTTCAGTTAGTCTCTTCTATTTCCCCATAAGTACATAACAATCTGTGAGAATATGTGTTTCTTTACGTGTGTTTGTGTGTGTATACATACATATATAATATATATATACACACACACACATAAATATAGTCATCCATCTCCTATCTGTTACCTGTCTATCCTTCCCCAAATGTTTCAAAAAAAGATGTTAAGATGAATTGTGAGAATAAGTATAAAATATTTTCAACAAAAAGTGCTGGAACAACTGAATACTCACATGCAAAAAAAAAAAATGAATCTCGACACAGATCTTATACCCCTCACAAAAATTCACTCAAAATAGATTATAGACCTAATTGTAGAACACAAAACTATAAAATTTATTGAAGATAACATAGGAGAAAATCTAGATGATCTTTGGTTTGGTGATGACATTTTAGATACAACACCAAAGGCATAATGCGTAAAAGAAAGAATTGAGAAGCTGGACTTCAGTAGAATAAAATAATTTCTGCTCTGTGAAAGACACTGTCGAGAGTATAAAAAGAAAAGCCAGAAACTGGAATTTGCGAAAGGCAAATCTGATAAAAGACTGTTATCCAAAATATATAAAGAACTCTTAAAAATCAACAATAAGAGATCACTCAATTACAGAATGAACCAAAGGCTTGAACAGACACCTCACCAAAGAAGACATATAGATGGCAAATAAACATGTGAAGGAACATCCACTCCACATCATCTCATCAGAAAAATCCAAATAAAAACAACTGTGAGATACCATTATGCATCTATTAGAATGACCAAAATCCAGAACACTGACACTACCAAATGCTGGCAAGAATGTGGAGAAACAGGAATTCTACTTCATTGCTGGGGGGAATGCAAAATGTTGTAACCACTGTGGAAGACAGGCAGTTTCTTACAAAACTAACATGCTCTTACCATACAACCCAGCAATCACACTTCTTGGTATTTTCCCAAAGCAGTTGAAAACTTATACTTACACAAAAACCTGTAAGAGATGGTTACAGCAGCTTTATATATAATTGTCAAAACTTGGAAGCAACCAAGATGTCCTTCAATAGGAAAACTGCCAAATAAATTGTGGTACACCAAGCGAATGGAATTCTACCGAGCACTCAAAAAGAATTGAACTATCAAGTCATGAAAAGATATGGAGGAAACTTAAATGCATATTACTAAGTGAAAGAAGCCAATCTAAAAAGTCTGCTTACTGTATGATTCCAACTATATGACATTTTGGGAAAGGAAAAACTATGGAGACAGTAAAAAGATCAGTGGTTTCCAGGGGTTAGGAAGGATGAATAGGCAGAGCACAGAGGACCTGTAAGGCAGTGAGAATATTCTGCATGACACTATAACGGTAGATACATGTCATTACACATTTGTCCAAACCCGTACAACTTACTACAACAAGTATGAATCTAAATGTAAACTGTAGGGAATAATGATGTGCCAATGTGCGTTCATGAAATGTAACAAATATACTACTCTGGTGGGGGATGTTGATAGCGGGGAAGGCTATGGATGTGTGGAGGCAGGATATACATGAAAACTCTCTGTACCTTCCTTTCAATTTTGCTATGAATCTAAAACTGCTCTAAAAAGTCTTTAAATTAATTAATTAATTTAATTTAATACAAAAGGGTAAAATTTTAAACCAAATCTAACTTCACATGCCTGTAATCCTAGCACTTTGGAAGGCCAAGGCTGGAATATTTCTTAAGGCCAGGAGTTTGACATCACTCTGGGCAACATGACAAAAATTCATCTCTACCAAAAAGAAAAAAAAATTAGGCGTGGTCGCACGCCTGTAGTCCTAGCTACTCTCAGGAGGCTGAGGTGGGAGGATCCCTTGAGCCCAGAAGTTTGAGCTTACTGTGAGCCATGATTGGGCCACCACACTCCAGCCTGGACCACAGATGGAGTCTCTCTCTCTAAAAAAAATTAAAATGAAAGTAAATAAATAAACCTAACTATAGCCAGCTGTGTTAGATTCTCTGGAAACAAAGAATCTAAAAAAAATAAAAAAAGTTTAAAGCTCTACGACAATCATATTTTTTAATGATTTATAAATAAAATGAGGTATTTTAGAATTACTTCATTGGGAAAATTTCTTCCCAAGTCTTTTAGACTTAGACAAAATGAAGACAAATAACCTGTTACAAGTCCAAGGATGGTGAAGTACTCAGAAAAGCCTATTTCCAAAGCGTGTATTGAATAGGTTCACTTTTCTCCATCCTCGCAGCCACTCCATCATGGTCCAAGCCACTATTATCTCTCCCTTGGAAAATTAAATGGTTTTCTATCTAGTTTCTCCTTTTCCACTCTTGGCATTCTTTAACGCACATTTTACATAGCAGCTAAACTGATATTATAAAACCACAAACCTGATAATGATACTTCCCTGTCTACAGGGAAGCGCTTTTAGTGGCTTTCTACTGCCCTTAGGATGAAATCCAGATTCTTAGCATGATGGCCCCTGCCCACACCCCCAGCCATCTTGGGTTATTCTCCCCTCATGTTTTATGCTCCAGGCATATCAGCGTTCTTCCCACTCTTTCCTTCCTTGAGGTCTTTAAACATAATATCCAATTCTTCCTGGAGTGTTCTTTCCCCCACCCATAACCTGGCTAATTCTTAAACATCAATTCTTCAGAGTTGACTTCCATTTCCTCTTCCCCCACAAATCTAGGTGAAGTCTGTTGGTTTGGGTTCTCTGGAAACCAGATTCTGAGATGGAATTAGGAGTGTGGATTGTTTTTGAGGGGCAACGCCTGAACAGGAAAGCTGAGAAAACAAGACTGAGCAAGAGAGAGCTTCAGACGATGATGCTGAAGACACATTCCCTGCCAGACCAGCCAAAAGACCTGGAGCAAAGATTGTACATTGCAAGGGTCTCACATTGGATAGCAATGGCTAATCCCTTACACTACTGCCTTTTTCAGCCACTGACTAGAGTCACCTCTTCAAAGCAGAAGCTAATCCTTATGAAGCTAAAAGCTGAAGATTACCAGCTAGCCACCCGCCTTGGGTCTTGGCGGGAAGTTCTTTCTTTTTTATTTTATAATTTTTTAGAAAATACAGATGGGTTTTTGCTATGTTGACCAGGCTGGTCTTAAACTCCTGACCTCAAGTGATTCTCTTATCTCAGCATCCCAAAGTGTTGGGATTTCAGGCATGAGTCACCACAACTGGCCAGCAAATTATTTCTTTATTTTAAAATTTTTTGAGGTAAAACATCCATATAAAATGCACCATATTTGCCATTTTTAAGTGTACAGTTCAGTGGTGCTCTTAAAACAGTCTTTAAATGTAAGAATACATTTATATTCTTTCCTTTTCCCTTCATCCCGCTTCCTGCTACCCTTCCCACCCTCTGGTAACCACAAGTCTACTTTCTATCTTAATGAGATCCACTTTTTTAGCTCCCACATATAAGTGACAACATGTGATGTTTGTCTTTCTGTGCCCGGCTTATTTCATTTAATAAAATGACATCCAGTTCTATCCATGTAACTGCAAGTGATAGCATTGTATTTTTTTATGGCTAAATAATATTCAATTGTGTATATATGCCACATTTTCTTTATCCATTCATTCACTAATGAGCACTTAGGCTGATTCCATATCTGGGCTACTGTGAATAGTGTTGCAGTAAACATAACAGTGCAGATATCTCTTCGATATATTGATTTCCTTTCCTTTGGATATATATCAAGTGGTAGAATTGCAGGATCATATGGTAGCTCTATTTTTAGTTTTTGGGAGGAACCACCACACTGTTCTCCATAGTGGTTGTACTAATTTACATTCCCACCAACAGTGTATGAGGGTTCAACTTTCTCTACATCCTCTCCAGCATCTGTTAATACCTGTCTTTGATACAAGCCATTTTAATTCTAATGAGATGATATCATCGTGGCTTTGATTTGCACTTTTCTGATGATTAGTGATATTGAGAATTTTTCATATATCTGTTGGCCAGTTTTATGTATTCTTTTGAGAAATGTCCATTCAGATATTTTGCCCTTTGTTTAATTGGATTATTTGTTTTTTTGCTATTGAATTGTTTGGACTCCTTATAAATTCTGCGTATTAATCCTTTGTGAGAAGGATAGTTTGCAAATGTTTTCTTCCATTTAGCAGGTTGTCCTTCCACTTTGTTGATTGTTTCTTTTGCTGTGAAGAAGCTTTTTAGCCTGATTTGATCTCATTTGTCTATTTTTGCTTTGGTTGCTTGTGCTTTTGAGGTCCTTCACAAAAGTTATTTGCCTAGGCCAGTGTCCCAGAGGATTTCTCAATGTTTTCTTCTAGCAGTGTCATAGTTTCAGCTCTTAGCTTTAAGTCTTATATCCATTTTGATTTGACTTTTTTGTGTGGTGAGGGAGATAGGGTGTAGTTTCATTCCTCTGCATATAGTTATCTAGTTTTTCTAGCACCATTTATTGAAATGACTCTCCTTTACCCATTGCATGTTCTTGGCACCTTTGTTGCAAATGAGTTGGCTGCAATGCATGAATTCATATCTAGTTTCTCTATTATGTTCTATTGGTCTATGTATCTGTTTATATAACATTACCATGCTGTTTTGGTTACTACAGATTTGAAGTAAATTTGGATGTCAGGTGGTGTCATATTTTCATATTTCCAGCTCAATTCTCTTTGTGCAAGGTTGCCTTGGCTATTCAGTCTTGTGGTTCCATATATTTTAGGATTTTAAGGGGCCAAGATGAGATCTCCAACAAATGTGTCTACAACTTAGGCAAGGCAGAAGTTCTGCACATACCCCTTGGAAGGGTGGTAGAATCCAGGGAGCCAAGCAGCATTGTTCTGCAGGCCCCACTTCCACAGCACTTCAAAAGATAAGACACACTGCCTTGGAATTCCAACCAGCCACCAGCAACAGGGTGGAGACTGCCTGAGACCTAATGGAGCCACAGGGGGGAGGGGCAGGCACCATCTTTGCTCTTTGGTCAACTCAGCTGTTCCAGCCTGTGGGCTTTGGAAAGTCCAAATAGTCCAGATGAGGAAAGTGCAGCACAGCAGCTTTGCCAGATTTTGGCCAGACTGCGTCTTAAAGCAGGCCCAATCCATTCCTCCTCACTGGACAGGGCCTCCCAGTCAGGCCCTCCAGCCACCCCCCCACACACATATTACAGATAGAGCTCTGATCTCTCCCAGGGATGGAGTGCCCAGGAGAGGGGGAAGGGCCACTGCCTGAGTTGGTTGTACGACTATGTCTCAGCCATTCCAACCGACAGGCATTGGAGAGTCCAAGCCGACACAGGCAGAGGCGGTTCTCCAGCATGACAGAGTTGTTGTGTCAAGATGTGGTCAGACTGCTTCTTTAAGTAGGACCATAATCCGCTACTCCTTGTGGCGGGTCCTCCCAGCTGGGTCTTCCCAGCCAGGGCCTCTGGCCACCCCTGCCTGTGTTCTAGGGGGCCAAAAAAGCTCTAATTTCTCCCTGGGACAGAGTACCGGAGAAGCAAGGCAGGCCACCAACTTGGCTGTTCAGGCTTCTCAGCCCACTCAGCCTGTGGGCCCTGGAGAGCCCAAACCAATTGAGGGCTGAACGTTATCCTCAACACAGCACAGCTGCTCTACCAAAAAGCAGCCAGACTACTTCTTTAAGCAAATCCCTGATCTCATTCCTCCTGAATGGATGAGACCTCCCAACTGAGGTCTCCAGCCACCTCCTACAGGAGCATTGGGGCGGGAAATAGGTCTGTAACCCCCGGGACAGAGCTTTCATAGGAAGGAGCAGGCTGCCATCTTTGCTGTTTCACAGCCTTCACTGGTGATACCTCCATGTACAGGAAAAACTGAGGCAATTAGGGACTACAGCGGATCCCCAGCAAACTACAGCAGCCCTATGGGAGAGTGGCCTGACTATAAAAAGAAAAACAAACAAACAGAAAACAGCAACAACAACAAAACTCAACAAAAAACCCCATCCAAAGGTCAGCAACCTCAAAGATCAAAGGTAGATAAGCCCACAAAGATGAGAGAGAATCAATGCAAAAATGCTGGAATACAAAAAGCCAGAGTTCCCCTTTTCCTCCAAATGACCACAACACCTCTCCAGCATGTGCTCAGAACCGGGGTAAGGGTGAGATGACCAAATTGAGAGAAGTAGGCTTCAGAAGGCAGGTAATAACAAACTTCACTGAGCTAAAGAAGCATGTTATAACCCAGTGCAAGAAAGCTAAATAGAGGAGCTGACAGCCAAAATGGCCAGTCTACAGAGAAGCATAACCAACCTGTTAGAGCTGAAAAACACACTACAAGAACTTCACAATAAAATCACAGGTATTAATAGCATAATAAAACAAGCAGAAGAAAGAATTTCAGGTCTTGAAGACTATCTATCCGAAATAAGACAGGCAGACAAGAATAGGAGAAAGAGAATGAAAAGGAACGAACAAAACTTCTGAGAAATATGGGATGATGTAAAGACACCAAATCTAAGACTGATTGGGGTACCTGAAAGAAATGGGGAGAATGGAACCAAGTTGGAAAACATACTTCAGGATATCATTCAGCAGAACTTCTCCAACCTAACAAGAGGGCCAACATTCAAATTCAGGAAATCCAGAGAACCCCAGTAAGATAATCCATGAGAAGATCAACCCCAAGACACATAATCATCAGATTCTCCAAGGTCAAAATGAAAGGAACAATGTTAAGGGCAGCCAGAGAGAAAGGCCATGTCACCTGCAAAGGGAAGTCCATCAGATTAACAGCAGAAACCCTACAAGCTAGAAGAGATTGGAGGCCAAAATTCACATTCTTAAAGAAAAGAATTTTCAAAACGGAATTTTATATTCAACAAAAGTAAGCTTCACAAGTGAAAGAGAAATAAGATTCTTTTCAGACAAGCAAATACTGAGGGAATTTGTTACCACCAGACCTGACTTGCAAGAGCTCCTAAAGGAAGCACTAAATATGGAAAGGGAAAACCATTAACAACCATTACAAAAACATGCTGAAATACACAGACCATTGACACTATAAAGCAACCACATAAATAGGTCTGCAAAATAACCAGCTAGCATCATGATGACGGAATCAAATTCACACATAACAATACTAACCTTAAATATAAATTGGCTAAATGACCCAATTAAAAGACACAGAATGGCAAGTTGAATAAAGAACAAAGACCCATCGATATGATGTCTTCAGGAGACCCATCTCATATGCATAAACACACATAGGGTCAAAATAAAGAGATGGAGGAAAATTTGCCAGGCAAATGAAAAACAGAAAAAAAGCAGGATCGCAATCCTAGTTTCTGACAAAAGAGATTTTAGACCAACAAAGATAAACAAATTCAAAGAAGGGCATTACATAACAGTAAAGGGTTCCATTCAACAAGAAGAGCTAACTAACCTAAATATATATGCATCCAATACAGAAGCACCCAGATTCACAACACAAGTCCTTAGAGACCCTCAAAGAGACTTAGACTCCCACACAATAATAGTGTGAGACTTTAACACCCCACTGACAATATTAGACAGATTATCAACAGAGAAAATTAACAAAGATATTCAGGACCTGAACTCAGCTTTGGATCAAGTGGACCTGTTAGATATTTACAGAACTCTGCACCCAAAAACAACAGAATATACATTTTTCTTATCACCACACAACACTTGCTCTAAAATTGATCACATAGTTGGAAGTAAAACACTCCTCAGCAATGCAAAAGGACTGAAATCATAACAGTCTCTTAGACCACAGCACAATCAAATTAGAACTCAATATTAAGAAATTCACTCAAAATTACACAACTACATGGAAATTGAGCAGCCTGCTCCTGAATGACTCTTGAGTAAATAATGAAATTAAGGCAGATATCAATAATTTATTTGAAACTAATGAGAGCAGAGACAATGTACCAAAATCTCTGAGATGCAGTTAAAGCAGTGTTAAGAGGAAAATTTATAGTACTAAATGCCTATATCAAAAGGCTAGAATGATCTCAAGTTAAAAACCTAACATCATAAATAAAAGAACTAGGGAACCAAGAGCAACAAATTCCAAAGCTAGCAGAAGACAAGAAATAACAAAGATTAGCGCTAAACTGAGGGATATAGAGACAGAAAAAAAACCTTCAAAAAACCAACTAATCCAGGAACAGGCTGTTTAAAACATTAATAAAATAGACAGCTAGCTAGACTAATAAAGAAGAAAATAGAGAATGTTTAAATAAACATAATCAGAAATGATTAGGGGAATATCACCACTGATCTCACAGGAATACAAACGATCATCAGAGAATATTACAAACAACTCTATGAACATAAAGTGGAAAATCTAAAAGAAATAGATAAATTCCTGGACACATACACCCTCCCAATACTGAATCAAGAAGAAATTGACTCCTTGAATAGACCAATAATGAGCTCTGACATTGAGATAGCAATAAAAACCCTACCAAACAAAAAAAGCCCAGGACCAGACAGATTCACAGCTGAATTCTACCAGAAGTAAAAAGAAAAGCTGGTACCATTTCTACTGAAACTATTCCAAAACATTGAAAAGCAGGGACTTCTCCCCAACTCACTCTATGAGGCCAGCATCATCCTGATACCAAAACCTGGCAGAAATACAACAAAAAAAGAAAACTTCAGGCCAATATCCCCAATGAACATCGATGCAAAAATCCTCAATAAAATACTAGCAAGCCAAATCAAGCAGCACATCAAAAACATGATGCATCAAGATGAAGTAAGTTTCATCCCTGGGATGCAAGGTTGGTTCACCATACACAAATCAATAAATGTAATTCATCACATAAACAGAGCTAAAGACAAAAACTACATGATTATCTCATTAGACACAGAAAAGACCTTTGATAAAATTCAATATCCCTTCATGTTAAAAACTCTCAATAAATTAGGTATTAAAGGAACATACCTCAAAATAAAAAGAGCCATATATTACAAACCCACAGCCAATATCATACTGAATGGCAAAAACTGGAAGAATTCCCCTTGAAAAGTGACGCAAGACAAAGATGCCCTCTCTTGCCACTCTTATTCAACATAGTATTGTAAGTTCTGGCCAGGGTGATCAGGCAAGAGAAAGAAATAAAGGTATTCAAATAGGAAGAGAGGAAGGCACAACATCTTTGTTTGCAGATGACATGATCATATATCAAAAAAACTCCCATTGTCTCAGCCCAAAAGCTTCTTGAACTGATAAGCAACTTCAGCGAAGTCTCACAATACAAAAATCAATGTGCAAAAATCGCTAACATTCCTATATAAAAACACCAGGCAAGCCAAGAGCCAAATCATGAATGAACTCCCATTCACAATTGCTACAAAGAGAATAAAATACCTAGGAATACAGCTAACAAGGGAGGTGAAAGACCTCTTCAAGGAAAACTACAAACCACTGCTCAAGGAGATCAGAGAGGTCACAAACAAATGGAAAAACATTTCATCCTCATGGATAGGAAGAATCAATATCATAAAAACGACCATACTGCCCAAAGCAATTTATAGATTCAATGCTATTCCCATTAAACTATCACTGACATTTTTCACAGAATTAGAAGAAACTATTTTAAAATACATATGGAACCCAAAAAGAGCTCATACAGTCAGATAATCCTAAGTAAAAAGAACAAAGCTGGAGGCATCACAGGAACAAAGCTGGAGGCATCACAGTACCTCACTTCACACTATAAGGCTATAGTAACCAAAACAGCATGGTACTGGTATAAAAACAGACAAATACACCAATGAAATACAATAGACAATTCAGAAATAAAACCGCACAACTACAACCATCCTATCTTTGACAAACCTGACAAAAGCAAGCAATGGGAAAAGGATTCCCTATTTAATAAATGGTGTTGGGAGAAGTGGCTAGCCATGTGCAGAAAATTGAAACTGGACCCCTTCCTTACACCATATACAAAAATTAACTCAAGATGGATTAAAGACTTAAATGTAAAACCCAAAGCTATAAAATCTCTTGAAAAATATCTACACAATACCATTCAGGACATAGGCATGGGTAAATATTTTATGACAAAGATGCCAAAAGCAATTGCCACAAAAGCAAAAATTGGCAAATGGAATCTAAATAAACTAAAGAACTTCCACACAGCAAAAGAAAATGTCATCAGAGTGAAAAGACAACCTACAGAATGGGAGAAAATGTTTGCAATTTATCCATTTGACAAAGGACTAATATCCAGAGTCTACAAGGAACTTAAACAAATTTACAAGAAAATAACAAACAACCCCATAAAAAAGTGGGTAAAGTCCGGGTGTGGTGGCTCATGCCTATAATCCCAGCACTTTGGGAGGTCAAGGTGAGCAGATCAGCTGGGCATGGTGGCTCACACCTGTAATCCCAGCACTTTGGGAGGAAGGGGCGGGTGGATCACGAGGTCAAGAGATCGAGATCCAGACCATCCTGGCCAATATGGTGAAACCCCATTGGTACGAAAAATACAAAAAACTAGCTGGGCATAGTGTCACACACCTGTAGTCCCAGCTGCTACTCGGGAGGCTGAGGCAGGAGAAGCGCTTGAACCCAGGAGGCAGAGGTTGCGGTTGCAGTGAGCCAAGATCGTGCCACTGCACTCCAGCCTGGTCACACAGTAAGACTCCGTCTAAAAAAAAAAAAAAAAAAAAAGGTGAGTGGATCGCTTGAGGTCAGGAGTTCAAGACAAGCCTGGCCAACATGGTGAAACCCCATCTCTACTAAAAATACAAAATTAGCCAGGCATGGTGGCAGGTGCCTGTAACCCCAGCTACTCATGAGGTTGAGACAGGAGAATCACTTGAACCTGGGAGAAGGAGGTTGCAGTGAGCCGAGATCATGCCACTGTACTCCAGCCTGGGCAACAGAGCGAGATTCCATCTCAAAAACAAACAAACAAACAAACAAAGACATACATGCAGCCAACAAACATATTTTAAAAGCTAAACATCAGAGAAATGCAAATCAAAACCACAGTGAAATACCATCTCACGGCAGTCAGAATGGCTATTACTGAAAAATCAAAAACAACAGATACTGGTGAGGTTGCGGAGAAAAAGGAATGCTTTTACACTGTTGATGGGCATGTAAATTAGTTCAGCCATTGTGGAAAACAGTGTGGTGATTCCTCAAAGACCTAGAGGCAGAAAAACCATTTAACCCAGCAATCCCATTACTGGGTATATACCTAAAGGAATATAAATCATTGTGTTACAAAGATACATGAGCACGTATGTTCCTTGCAGCATTATTCACAATAGCAAAGACATGGAATCAACCTGAATGCCCATCAGTGATAGACTGGATAAAGCAAATGTGGTACATATATACCATGGAATACTATGCAGCCATTAAAAGGAACTAGATAGTGTTCTTGCAGGGACATGGATGGAGCTGGAAGCTATTACCCTCAGCAAGCTAACACAGAAACAGAAAACCAAATACCACGTTATCACTTATAAGTGGGAGCTGAATGATGAGAACACATGGACACATGCAGAAGAACAACACACGCTGGGGCCTGTCAGAGGGTGGGGTGTGGGAGGAAGGAGGACATCAAGAATAGCTAATGGATGCTGGGCTTGATACCTAGGAGATGGGATGATCTGTGCGGCAAACCACCAAGGTGCACATTTACCTATGTAACAAACCTGCACATCTTGCACATGTACCCCGTACTTAAAATTTGGAAATCAAATAAACCAATAAATAAATTATAGGATTTTTTTTCTATTTCTGTGAAGAATGTCATTGGTATTTTGATAGGGATTGCTTTGTGTTTTCCTGCCATCTTAACAATATTAATTCTTCCAACCCATGCACATGGAACATTTTTTCATTTTTCTGTGTCTTCTTCAATTTCTTTCATCAGTGTTTTATAGCTTTCCTTGTTTAGCTCTTTTAATTCTTTGGTTAGATTGAGTTCAATGTCTGTTATATTATTTGTAGCTATTGTAAGTGGAATTGCTTTCTTGATTAATTTTTCAGATTTTTTTGAAATAGAAATAGATAATTGAAATAGAAATTATATGAAGTATCTTAGTTGGTATATATAAATGCTATTGATTTTTGTGTGCTGATTTTGTACCCAGAAACTACTGAATTTATTAACAAGTTATGACAGTTTTTTGATAAAGTCTTTAGTTTTTTCCAGATATAAAATCATGTTATAGAAACAAGGCTAATTTTACTTACTATTTTGCAATTTGGATGCCCTTTATTTCTTTCTTTTGCCTAACTGCTCTTGCCAGAACTTTCAGTACTGTGTTGAGTAAAAGTGGTGTAAGTAGGCATCCTGAGCTTGTTCCAGATTTTAGTAGAAAGCCTTAAACTCTTTCCCATTTAGTACAATGTTAGCTGTGGGCTGGTCATATATGGCCTGTATTATTTTGAGGTATGTTCCTTTTATTCCCATTCTGATGAGGTTTTTTGCCATGAAGATATGTTGAATTTTATCAAATGCTTTTTTGGCATTTATTGAAATAATTGTATGGCTTTTGTTATTGATTCTCTTAATGTGATATATCGTGTTTATTGATTTGCATATGTTGACCTATTCTTGCATCCCAGGAATGAATCCAACTTGATTATGGCAAAGAACCTTTTTAATACATTGTTTTGTTTTGTTTTTTTGAGATGGAGTCTTGCTCTGTCGCCCAGGCTGGAGTGCAGTGGCGCAATCTTGGCTCGCTGCAAGCTCGGCCTCCTGGGTTCACACCATTCTCCTGCCTCAGCCTCCTGAGTATCTGGGATTACAGGCGCCTGCCACCATGCCTGGCTACTTTTTTGTATTTTTAGTAGAGATGGGGTTTCACCATGTTAGCTAGGATGGTCTCAATCTCCTGACCTTGTGATCCACCTGCCGCAGACTCCCAAAGTGCTGGGATTACAGGCGTGAGCCACAGCACCCAGCCTTTAATACATTGTTGAATTCAGTTTGCTAGTATTTGTGTGTGTGTGTGTGTGTGCTTTTGTTTGTTTCTATTACTTTATTTGTGATCAAAATATCTCTTTAAAATAACTTGCTATATCTTTAAGATGTTTTTCATAAGCCTCATGATAACCACAGCACAAAAACTTGTAATAGATACATTAAAAATAAGCAACAAATTAAAACATCTTACCAGATAAACCACTTCAACACAAAGCAATATAGTAAGACTGAAAAGTCTGAAAACAACCAGAAAATAGGCAATAAAGTGGCCATAGTAAGTCCTTACTCATCAACAATAACATAGAATGTAAATGGTCTGAAATCTCCATGTAAAATGCATAGATTGGCTGAATATAAAAAAATCAAGACCCAACTATATGCTGCCTTCAAGAAACCCACTTTACCTACAAAAATGCACATAGATTGAAAGTGAGGGGGTAGGAAAATATATTCCATGCAAGTGAAAACCAAAAACGATCAAGAATAGCTATGTTTATATCAGATAAAACAGACTACAAATCTAAGAATGTAAAAAGAGACAAGAAAGTCACTGTATAATGATAAAGGGGTCAATTCAGCAAGAGAAATTATAACAATTATAAGTATATATTCACCCAACACCAGAGCTCCCAGGTATATACAGCAAGTATTAAAAGATCTAAAGGGAAAGATAGAATGCAATACAAAAATAGTAAGGGACTTTTACACCACACTGTCAGTAATGGGAACATCATCCAGACAGAAAATCAACGAAGAACCAGTGGAACTATACTGCACAATAGGTCTAATAGACCCAAGTGATATTTACATAATATTTTGCTCAACTGCTGAAAAAAATACATTCTTTCCACTAGTGCATGGAACATTCTTCACAGTAGACTATATCTTAAGCCACAAGACAAGTCTGAACAAATTCAAAATAATAGAAATCATATCAAGCATCTTTACTACCACAATAGAATAAAACTAGAAATTAATAACAAGAGAAACCTTGGAAAATGCACAAACATGTACAAATTAAACAACATGCTCTGCATTGATCAATGGATCAATGAAGAAATTAAGAATGAAACAAATGAAAATGAAAATACAACATATCAAAATCTATGAGGCACAGCAAAAGCAGTATTAAGAGAGAAGTTTAAAGCAATAAACACCTATATCATAAAAGGAGAAATAAACAACCTAAAAACACATCTCAAGGAACTAGAAAAGCAAGAACAAACCAAACCCAAAATTAGTAGAAAGAAAGAAATAATGAGGACCAGAGTAGAAATAAGTAAAACTGAGACAAAAAAAATACAGAATATCAACAAAACAAAATGTTGTTTTTTTGTAAAGATTAAAAATTCAACAAATGTTTAGTTACACAAAGAAAAAGAGAGAAGATCCAAATAAATATATAAAAACACAAACAAAAAAGGAGAGATAACAACTGAGACCTCAGACATACAAAGAATAATTCAAGACTAGTGTGAGCAACTAACTATATGCCAACAAATTGGAAAACCTAGAAGAAATGGATAAATTCCTAAACACATAAAACCTACCAAGATTGAAATATGAAGCAAGAGAAAACCTCAACAAGCCAGCAATGAGTAGTAGAATAAAAGCCATAAGTCTCCCATCCAAGAAAAGCTGAGGACCTGATGGCTTACTGCTGAACTCTACCAAACATTTGAATAATGAATCAAACTCTCAAAAAAATTAAAGAGGAGGGAATACTTTCATAAATTCATTCTATGTAGCTAGCATTACCCTGATAACAAAGCCAGATAATGACTCAACAGAAAAAGAAACTTACAGGTCACTGTCACTGATAACCATAGAGGCAAAAATTCTCAGAAAGTCTTTTCTTGAAGGAAGATCTGCATAGCTCATCTCTGTGTCCAGTACAATGTCCCTGCCTTTCTTCTCCTCAAAGCACTTTTCACTTTTCCTTCATTTCTCTATAACTTGAAACTTGTTTTTGTGTATTTATCTGTTCAATTGCTGGCTTCTCCACCAGATGGCAAACTTCATGAGAGCAGAGGTTACATTTATTTCATTTTCTACTATATACCCAGCACCTAGCACCATGGCTGGCACGTTACAAGAACATGAATGTTTGATGAACAAATGAATAAATGTTGCTGACATCTGAGGATAATTTGCCTTGAAGGTATTTGTAACCGGGATCCTGAGTGGTCAACAGATGCAAACCACTGCATATGACCCAAGCCTCTACAAGATTCGGAAAATTCTGCTTTTCCCTGCCAGGGGTATTGCTTTTTCAACTAACAGGCCTTAGTCTAGCCTGTGAAGTCTGGTTTCAGACCCTTGTGGTCTGACCTATCTTGTTTCTATCTCCAGCTTAGAATAAAATAGTGCCTTCAGCTTCTAATCCTCCTGAGTCTTTGAGAATCTAATTTCCTTTCATCTGCGGCACTAGGTAAAGTCATGAAGAGCTAATTTGGGTGAAGTCCTGGTGACATCATAACCACATCTACTATCAGCTACTGTTTCCTGCCCCCCAAAAAATCTGAATTTTCTTCTCTCTAGGCTTTGAAGCTTGTATATTTCCAACATCTCTTTTCCCCAAAAACTATTTTCATGCTGTGTTATACTGGGTTTTATTGCCCACCCTCCAGCTGAGCAGTCCTCCTGACTCTTAGCTTGCAGTTCTCATTCAGGAATTTCTGCTACCCACTCATGGGGCAGAAAGGAGGGGAGAACAGCCATTAAGGCTATCAAATATTACAAAATTGAAGACCCCACTGCTGGAATTTTAACAGCTGCTCTCCATACTGTCTCCTAATCTAAGCTTGACCATGTGGTTCTCAATAACAATTTAGGGAGGAGGGGTTCAGATCATCTAGACTATAATTATTAAACGGGGACAAAAAATTGAAGACCCCAACAATGATCAATTTGGTAACTTTACAGAGGACTAGCCTCACCCCAGTCATCATTAGGAGTTTCTTTTCAGTCTGCTCAGTAATGTGGTTGAGGAAAAGGATCCCCGGGCCTGGGTTCAAAGCCCAGCTCTGTCATATATTAGCTACATAATGTTGGGCAATTTGCTTAACTTTCCATGCCAACATCTTCATAAATATAAGGAGGTAAAATAAAAGCATCCACATATGAAGTGCTTGGAGTGATTAATAAAGTAATGTATACAAGTTGCCTAACAAAGTTTCTGGCACAGAAACAGAAGAAACACATAAAAATGTTATTGACTATTGTTATTTTTTGTGTCATCACTCTTTTCTTTTGTTCAATTGTCACTCTCTCTCACCTTCCTTCCTCCTCCTTTCTAGTCGCTCTGTCTCATTCTTTCTCTGAGTTTTTCTATAAATGAGGAGAAAAAAGAGCCTTATCTACTCATGCCTTCACTAAGAAATTAGTCATTTATTAATAATGAGAGGCAATATTGCAAAGTGGTTGGTCTGGTAGACTCTGGAGCCTGATGTCTTGTTTAATATTGTATCTGCCACATCCTTTCCTGTGTATTCTTGGGCAAGATACTTAACTTCTCAGTTTTCCTATCTGGAAAATACAGATAATATTTGTGTCTGCTTCACAGAGTTATTTTTAAGATAAAATGATTTATATAAAGTACCTAGTGCATAAGACTTCTGGATAAATATTAACTTTATTTCTTACAGCTTATTTTTATTTTAAAAGAAGGAAAAGAATTACTAAAAATAATAAATAAATAAATACTAAAAAAAAAAAAAAAAAAAAAAAAAAAAAAAAAAAAAACTCCGGCATGAACAAGGGAGCTATCAGGGATCAGATAGCCTCTCCCTGTTATACATCAAACCTCCAAGTTACTGTGTCTACTGAAGACCTTACTTTAATAACTTTCCCAACAGTCAACTCTCTTTCAACTAACTTTTCTCTTCTCTCTTGGGAGATTTCCCCTGGGTTGCCTGTTAGTGACTCACTTCCTACTGGCAGTCTTGTTCACACTTTAAACTTCCTGACAGTTAGTGAATCACCTCTGTATCCTGCCTTGTTATGTATTTATTTTTGCTTCTCCTTACCTGCCCCTACCCCCACCCCACACCAGCCACCTAATTCTCCTGGAGAAATCAAACAGTGAAGAGAAAAGACATTAGGGGCCAGAACATTGGATATCCATTGAAACTCAATGCCTTAAATACCTTTGGATGAAGCTTCAACTCAAATGTTGGTAAAATGTCTCCTCCCTCATTTCTCTTAATGTTAGAACCTACAATCTCTCAATTCTAACCTGTTATTTTCTTCAAAGCCTCCAATTAAAACCTCAGGTACAAACACTTGTATTTGTTTAGTGAAATATTTTTTACATGAAGAAGACTTTGGAAGATGAAATTCTAGACAGAAGAGGTAGTGTGATGAGAAAGAAAGAGAGGATGAGAAGGGGAGGATGAACAGCAACGGATACCCGCAAAATGAATGGGGATGGTGATAGTACAGGTAAAGAGAGAGGATGAGCAAGAAAGAGAATTTGGAGAGACTGATGAAAAAAACAGAAAATGAAAAATAAAAACTGAAGAAAGTAGAATATAATTAGCCTGGTGATTAAGAGTACTGGTTTTAGAGTTAGAGTAACTGTTCACATTACAGCTTTAATACTCACTAGCCATGTAACCCAGAGCAAGGTAGTTAACGTTTCAGTACCTCAGTTTTCCTATCTTTAAAATGGGAATAATAGTAGTACCTACCTCAGGGTTGTTGTGATTAATGAGCTAATGCATGGAAAATGTTGTGAACAATGTCTAGAACATAACAAGTGCTCAATAAATGTAGCAGTGGTTATTATTAGTAGGAATATTTATTCTTATAACTAAGGTCATCAGAGCAATTATTGTTTTCTTAAATTATCAGTATTTATAGCTATGACAACTTCTGAATGTCTACATTTCCAAATAATTAGAAAAACTTTTACTAGAGATGCCCAATATATTTGTCAGTGATATTAAATATTACTATCTCACTAAGAATGTGCTAAAGAAAATTCAGCAAAACAAATTATTTACAATTTGCACAAATGTGCTACAAACATCCAGAAGAAAAATTCAACTGCATTTTTGTACTGTATTTAATGTATCTATTTTAGAATATCGAGGCACTTTCCTAGAGCCAGGACATCCTGTTTTAAAATACTAGGGTCAGCGGGGAGAGAAGACTCAAAAGTCTATGTGTTAAATGTGTTTCCATACATTTCGCAGGGAACTGACCCCAAATCCCAGCATGTGTGTATAACTGCCTCAGATACCTGAAAGTAAACAAAACGGATAACTAGTCCTGCCTATTGAACCAACATTAAAGCTCTGATCAAAAAGATCTTCTCATCAGATGTTCATATATTCAAAAGTTTACTGCATCCCATAATGTGTTGACATGTTTACTGTGATTTGCTAAGAAGCAGGAGAGACTTTTTTCCACTTAACAGGAGGCTTCTTCAATCAGGCTCCTAAAGGGTTTTAGCAGTTCAAGCAGGTGAGTGACAAATGTGATTACAATCAACAGGAAATAGGAGCTAGATCTTCTGCATATTCTCCTACCCACCCCTCCCCTATAAAATATCTCACATTAAACTGCCAACATGATGAACTTCAGAAAATATTCACAGCCCAGTGACACTCACATAGTCAAGCTGCTATTAACAACTACTCAGACACCTAATATTGCCTTGTTTTGTGTGAACTGAAGACTGATGAACCTGAGTTATTTCCTTTTCACTGTTATCTGATACTATCATTTTATAGTAGTTGGAGCAGAAAAGGAAAATTGGTCTCGAGGAAATGGAAGACAATGTTTATGATATTATAGTAAAAGAAATGAAATACAGTTTACAGACCCTGTTTTTGCCACTAATCATGCCTTTGCCAATTAAAAAATGAAAACAATGGTGTTTTACACGTAGTACTTTCCACTAACTTTTCACACATATAACCTCTTATAATCTTCTCAATGATCTTGAGAAGACTTATTCTCTAAGATTAACCTCTTGAAATATCTTAGGGCTAAATTTCCTGACCTATGAACAAAACGTCTAAAATCTTGAGGAAAGAATGTTTATAGCAAGATAGCCTTTTTCAAGCCTAGTAACTGTGTTAACGTTTTTTTTTTCTTCTCTCCCTAGAAGAAGTGTGAAGCTCAGGCAACGAAAGTAAGATTTTCTAAAATGCACTTTTTATTGTTTTTCTATAAATTATTTACTTATTTCTCAAGTTTGTTCTAATTGAAAAGTTAACTTTGCTAATTCAAGGTGGCTCAGTCCCTTTCAGATATATCTGAATCTGTTTTGGTTTAAAACTCTGTTTCATGTTTTTCCTCTTTCTCCTCCCCTTAAGGATAATCTAAATTCTAGGAGTCTTACTTTTTGTCTCCAGGATCAGAACTGGAATGTCTATAAGGTATGACATCATCCTCCATCCACACTGGCCAAAGTTGAGTGTTTTGTTCATTCAGGCTTTGGGTACCATTCTGTCCCTTGATGCTTGCCCTGGCTTGGACAGTGTATCCTGTCATACACCAGCCTACATTTAGCCCTTGCTTCTAGAGTACCTGGGGGCTCTGAGAGGTTGTCTTTGGACCTATGATCAGACACCTCCTTCAGTAATGGTCCATTGTCACTCAGGCATGATATTGGACTTGGGACGTCTTTTACTTTGCAGTTTGGGAGCTGCACCCTCTGAAGCTCCATCTGCTATGGATCCCCATACACTTAGCCAGGCTTTCTTTTGTCCTCCCTATGAGGTTTACACTACACACAATGGAAGTAAGCAGGAACTTTTCTGGCACCCATTAAAGCCCTAGTAGGGCCTTCTCAGATTTTTCTTTTGCCACCAGCTGATCAGACTTTCATCTCCTTTAAGTGACCAAAAAAGACCCTGATCCTATATCATCCTGCATTTTTGTCAACTCTATGATGCACAGGATAAATTACATATCCTGTGTCCTCTTGATGTTCAAAATCTACCTCTTGAAATTTTAAGGAAAAATATATTGTCTCTCAAGAAGGCTCATGTAAATCAAAAGCACTGGCTTTTCGACCGCTAACAGTTTCTGGTGTAGAGTAGTAATAGTCTATTTAGTCTACTCTTAGAGTCAGTAATATATAATGATTAGGCACTTGGTTTCAAGGGCCAGAATGCCCAGGTTCAAATCTCAGTGTAAATGTATACTAGCTATTTGACGTTACATAAATCAACCTGTATAGTTTCTTCGTCTGGAAAAAAGAGCATAATAAAGTTTCTGTCTCAAAGGGTTGTTGTGATTAAATAAGCTAAGCACTTAGTACAGTGTCTGGAATATATATAGTGTTTAGGACTGTATGTGGCATATAGTAAGCAGTTTTTTTACTATTAAAATTATCAAAATTATTGTTACTTCAGAACTGAAATAGTCAAGAATTTGACTTAGGTCTTGCTGAGATCTCTTGTGTTTCTCATCTTAAGGCAATAGTCTGCAACCTAAATAGGGAAATATTTAAAGATATAATTCTGCTATAAAGAATTAAATCTAGTAGCTTTCTAACTACTGTGTACCAACCACTTAGACTGTATTGAACACAAACAAGTTGTTATGATGGCTAAAATGGACCCAGTAAAGAATAGCAGTTTACACCTTTTTCAAGTGTATTTAGATTTATCTAAATTTAGATTCAATAAATCTAAAAATAATATCTCATAATTGTATGTACTCTGTGAGGCCTTTCTTGATGAGTACCCTCTGCCTTCCCATAGATTCGCAATACTCCTCCTCCACCATCCCCATATAAAACTAAATGTGATTTCTCTACTTTGAAGTCTCATAACTCTGTTTCTATCTCTTATGTGTACTTTCACTAAATATCAATTACTGTAATTTTTATACTTGTTCACTCTCCCAATTTGGATTGCTGGCAACAATTCCTTTTTCTTTACTGACAGTGTCTGCTGTAATGCTTCATACTAAGAAGGTTACAAATAAATGCTGTTGAAACATCTCTATGAAATGAAGCTAAGTAGTAAACTAAGTAGTAAAGTAAAAATTATAAGAAACACTGAATGAGATAAATGCAATGAATCATAGTAGTTAACAGTATAGACTTTATGTAAAGCTGCAACAGGTTTCAATCCTAGCTCTGTTATGCTGTGACCTTGTACAAAAGTCTGCACAGTCTTTTCATCTTAAGCTGGGGACATTTAAAATCATATGACAGGATAGTTGTGTGAGTTAAGATTATGTGCAAAGTACTCAGCACAGCATTTGGCATATGGTAGCCATCAATTAATAGTAGCTATTAAGCCTGAGGAGGTGATACCAAAAACTTTGTATGTACCTCAGAGTTTTGGCTATATGGGTATTCTGATTAAAACTATTCAATTAGAAAGTTAGAGCCTGTAGTAGGCTGAAAAATGGCCCACTAATATATCCACATCCTAATCCGCAGAACCTGTGACTATTACCTTATGTGCCAAAAGGGACTTTGTAGATGTGATTTAAGTTAAGGATCTTGAGATAAGGGAATGTCCTGGATTATCTTGGCAGGCTTAAGGTAATCACAGGGATTCTTCCCCAAAAGAAGGAGTTCGGAGATTAAAGAGAGAGTAGGAAATGTGAAGACAGAAGCAACATGCTGTAGTGATCGTGAGCCAAGACATGCAGGTAGCCATTAGAAACTTAAAAAGACAAGAAAATGGATTCTCTCCTCAGAGCCTCCATAAGGAGCAAGCCCTAAGATTAATTTTGTACTTCTGACTTTCAGGACTGTAAGATAATTAATACCAGTTGTTTAAAAGCACTAAATTTATGGTAATTTGTCATAATGGCAACAAGAAAATGAATCCAGAGATTATGAAATAAAAATCAAGGTATTACTACTTTGAAAAGTAATTTGATAATTTATTATAAAGTTAAACATACATTTACTCTATGACCAAGCAATTCCACTTCTAAGTACATTCCCAAGAGAAATGGACACAGAGTCTTACACACAGTTATTCATGGCAGCTTTATTCATAATAAACCCAAACTGGTAAGAACCTATATGTCCATCTGAAGGTGAATGGATAAGCAAATAACAATGCATTCATTCAATGGAATGCTACAGAGTTGCAATAAGAAGAAACTACTAATACAATAACATGGATAAATCTAAAATATTTTGCTGGCTGAAGGCAGAAACAAAAGCATACGTACTGTGTCATCTCACTTTTACATGTTCTAGGCAAGGCAAAATTAATCTATAGCAATAGAAATCAGATCAGTGGTTGCCTCTGGGTATGGGGGCATTGGCTGTAAGGAACAGAAGGTAGGGTGAAGGAAACATTTTACATTTTGATTGTGGTGGTGGATATATGGGTGTGTAAATGTAATAAAACTCATTAAATTGTCCTGACAAACCAATGGCTGTATTCAAGACCTTAAAAATGTTGAGAACGTTAGTCTAAACTAGAGCCTTAAATCCATATGGATTCCAAATATTTCATTCCAATTTCCACAAAGTAGCCTGGGAAATTGCCTGAACAAATACATATCTAATAAATTACAAGTAGTAGAATTTAAAAACTTATGCTATGCAAAATATGTAAAGCATAAAAGAGTTGCTTTCTTTTTTTTTTTTTTTTTTGAGACAACAACAAAAAAACAGACAGCCTGTTCTGTCGCTTAGGCTGGAATGCAGTGGCATGATCTCTGCTCACCGTAACCTCCACCTCCTGTGGTTCAAGTGATTCTCATGCCTCAGCTTCCCAAGTAGCTGGGATTACAGGCGCATGCCACCATGCCTGACTAAGTTTTGTATTTTCGATAGAGACAGGGTTCCACCATGTTGGCCCGGCTGGTCTTGAACTTCTGGCCTCAAGCCATCCGCCGGCCTCAGCCTCCCAAAATGCTGAGATTACAGATGTGAGTCACCGCACCTGGCAAGAGTTGTGATTTTTTTAAAGTATTCTTTTTGGG